>NC_000009.12:30161515-30313030 GCF_000001405.40 Homo sapiens
ATAATTAAGCACAGTTACTAATCCAGAAGTCATGTCGCAGTTTTGTAAGTCATTATATAAATTTTTCAAACACTTTAAAAAAAACTTGTACTTTTTACCAGGACATAATTGACTTTTTCTGAACACATCTTTTGCTTACCCAATACACATTAGGTTAATGGTTGTATTAGGTAGGATAGATTGTCGTAAGAATTACACCAATATAATAGAAGTTTGTTTTCTCCATCATGTAACAGCCTGAGTCAGGTGTTTCTCATTGGCAGGTGCCTCTCCCCTAGGTGGTGATTTATTTATTGAACTCTAACATCTCTTGGGTTTCATCATCATAGGGTCCTGGCCAGTTGATTGAGAAATGAAATGCAAAGACAGTTAACACATGTCTTAAAAGCACTATAATGGCCCACATCACTTTCACCAATATCGCCTTAGCTGGATCTCAGTTCCCATAGTCACATCTGGCTGTGAAAGTAGGAATTGTAGGCCAGGCACGGTGACTTACACTTGTAATCTCAGCACTTTGGGAGGCTGAGGTGGGCAGATCGCCTGAGGTCGGGAGTTTGAGAACAGCATGACCAACATGGAGAAATCCCATCTCTACTAAAAATAAAAAATAAAAAATAAATAACAAATAAAATACAAAATTAGCCAGGCGTGGCAGTGCATGCCTGTGGTTTCAGCTACTCGGGAGGCTGAGACAGGAGAATCGCTTCAACCCAGGAGTTGGAGGTTGCAGTGAGCTGAGATCGCGCCACTGTACTCCAGCCTGGGCAACAAGAGCGAAACTCCATCTCAAAAAAAAAAAAAAAAAAAAGAAAGTAGGAATTGTAGTCTATATCCATACTCAAGATGCAGAAGAAATATGGTTTCTTGATGAACAGCAGTGTCTGTCCCAATAGTAAAAATAGTTTCAAGAATTAAGTGAGTTTTAGAGAAATGTGGTAATACTTATACACACAAAATTCTAAACAATATATACCCAAGTATACCGAGTTCTGGAATAATTGTTGATTCAGAGCCAGCAGTAGCTGAAGGGAAAACCCACATATGCGATTTTATATTACTTGCTTCATAGTCAATAATATGTTTGACAAATGAAAAGTCATGATATTCTGATTTATATATGCTCCGTTTAGAAATGTAAATAATAAGTATTTTTAAAAAATTATTATTAATTTTATAATATAAATGACCATTGCTAATATTCTTTTCTATTACCTTCTCATTTTCTTTTACAACATTAAAACTGACATAGTGAAGGATATTGGGCTGAACAATAAGAATGATCATTTTCAGCATTGTTGAATTGTGAGAATGGTAGTTTTATATAATTTAAAGTAACAAAATCAAAAATGAAGAGTAAAACACTTTCTATTAATTAGAAATTTTGACTATACTTGACTCTGTAATAGTCTATTTAAGATGTGGGGTAGCCATCATTAAATTAGTCATATTCTGTTATAAACAAAGTCTCTGACATTTCACAATAAGTTTTCAATATTATTTAATGAGTAAATTAATTAGCAAACATAGTTCTATAAATCTTCAATTAGTTAAACTTATCACAATACATATATGTATATATTTAAAATGCTTGGAAACAATAAGAGATAAAAAGACCCTAACACCCTGTGGAAATCAGCAATTTTTATATAAAATATATTTAAAACAAAAACTAGAATTTTAACTTGAAAGCAGAGAATAAGCCTTCAAAAATAGAATTACTATTGTATAGGTAATGATGTTTAGATGTAATGAACATGTTGAAATGTCATGTGTGTAATATATGAGCTAATGTCTTCATTATTAAAATTGCACTTAACTCAAAAGTTAATGATCTTTAAATCCGACAAAGGTATCTAATTCATTAAGTGCCTAATGTTTTTCTAACTTTATGAGATATTATAGAATCATATAAAGTAAGTAATACTCTACTGTGAGCCAAAACACTTAGCAAATTATCTCAAATAACCTAAATATAATAATTCATTTCAAGTTACAGAACTGGAGACCAAATTCACTGAATTAATTATATTTCATTTGACAAGAGTAATGATGCTTCATCAGAAATACATTTTTTTTAAATTTATTGAGCCCACTTCTCCTTAAATTTGTTTATTTAAATTTATTGAAGTAAAAATTTCACACCTTAGTTGGTGGTTTCTGCAGTCTTCATTCTATTCTATTATTTACTGTTCTGAAATATTATGCTTTTAAAATCATTCAAGTGATAGCATTAAAATATAACACACATTTATATGTATTTTTATCAAAAGCATTTATTATATTTTATGGCTTCTACAGAAAAAAATATGTGATAATGCATATTGGATGGCTATGGTAAACAAAGAAAGCATTATCTATTTGCTAATTGTGTAAATAATTCCTAAAAGTTTTAGAAAGCTAATGTGATATAATCTTTCATTTAACAGGTGAAAATATTATGCACCACAGAGTTTCAGTGTCCTGATGAAGCTCTGTTTCTTTGTTGTTAGTTTTCCCTGTCCTCAACAGAGAAAATAAAATTTCTCTTTACATTTCTGGAATTTTATTGACTTGGGTTTCTCTGTGCCCTCAGCTCTTTGATGAGCATAGTTTTTAAAACTATTATGCCTTATCTAGGCTACTCTAGTTAGACTGGGAACGAGTTTCTTGCACCTGTCTACATTCTACCTAGAAATGGAAGGCTTATTCAGATTATATTCTTGTTTTCATCAAAATGTTTCATCTGATAAGAGTTATCTTGTCATAGAAATAAAAGTTCATATTTATTTTCTAGTAGAAAATATAATCAGTGGTAAGAAATACAATCATTACATTAAGGAATAAATTGCATATGTTATTTCTTTAAATTCTGTAATTTCATATTGTTATTGAGCTATTCAAAACAAGCTTGATTCTTTGCATCCATTATAAAGATTTCTTTTTATCTCTCTAGACAAATATTTCTTTAATAAAAATTATGATTTGTCTCTGTTTTTTTTTATTTTTTAGTTGATAAGTAAATTGCATTATTTATAGTGTGCAATACGAAACATACATATATGGTGACATGCCTAAATGAAGCTAATCAACATATGCATTATGTTATACTTTTTTGTGGTAAGAACATTTAAAATCTACACACTTAGCAATTTTCAAGTATACATTACTTTGCTCTAAATTATATTCACCATGTTGTACAATAGATCTCCTGAACATATTCCTCCTAACTGATATTTTGTATTCTTTAACCAACATCTTCCCCAATCCCCTCCCCTCCACTAAGCCCCTGATAATTGTCATTCTACTCTCTGTTTCTATAAGTTCAACCTTTTCAGATTCCACAAACAAATGAGATCACGTGATATTGTCTTTCTGTGCCTGGCTTAATTCACTTAACACAGTGTCCTCGAGGTTCATCCATGTTCTTGCGAATTACAAGATTTCCTTCTTTTCAAAGGCTGAATAGTTTTGTTGTGTGTGTGTGTGTGTGTGTGTGTGTGTATGTGTTGCCTACAGGTGCATATAAAATCTTCTTTATTAATTCATTCATTGGTGGACAATTTATATATTGATGGTTGATTCTACATCTTAGGTATTGAGAATAAATCCACAAACAACATGGGAGTGTGAATATCTTTCAACATATTGAATGTAGTTCCTTTGCATATATACCCAGAAAAGGGACTGTTGGAACATATGGTAGTTCAATTTTTAGTTTTTCTCAAGAACTTCCAAACTGTTTTCCATATTGGCTGTACTAATTTACATTTTCACTAACAGTTTATAAGGGTTCTCTTTTCTCCATATCCTCACCAATACTTATCTATTGTCATTTTGATAATAGCCTTCTAACATTTGTGAGTTGATATTTCATTGTGGTTTGTATTTTCTTGCTGATTAGTGATGTTGAGTATTTTTCCATATACCTATTGGCTACTTTTATATCCTTTTTTGAAAAATGTCTTTTCAGGTCCTTCGTCCATTTTTTTTCATCAGGTTATTTACATTCTAACTATTGAATTGTTTGTGTTCCTTAAATATTTTTGATATTAGCCCTGTATCAGATTTATGGTTTATAAATATTTTCTCATATTTCATAGGTTGTCTCTTCATTCTGTTGTTTTCTTTGCTGTGCAGAAGCTTAGTTTGATGCAATCACATTTATCTACTTTTGCTTTGGTTGTCTATGTTTTAGGAGTCATATCCAAAAAAATAATTGCCCAGATGAATGTCATGAAGCTGTTTCCCTAGGTTTGCTTTGAGTAGTTTAAGAGTTTCAGGTTTTATGTTGAAGTGTCTAATGCATTTTCTTTTTCTTTTTTTTTTATACACTTTAAGTTCTAGGGTACATGTGCAGAATGTGCAGTTTTGTTACATAGGTATACACATACCATGGTGGTTTGCTGCACCCATCAACCCATCACCTAGATTAGGTATTTCTCCTGATGTTCCTGATGTTATCCCTCCCCTAGCTCCCCACCAATAGGCCCCTGTGTGTGATGTTCCCCACCATGTGTCCATGTGTTCTCATTGTTCAAATACCACTTATGAGTGAGAACATGCGGTGTTTGGTTTTCTGTCCTTGTGATAGTTTGCTGAGAATGATGGTTTCCAGCTTCATCCATGTCCCTGCTAAGGACATTAACTCATCCTTTTTTATGGCTGCATAGTATTCCATGCAGTGTATGTGCCACCTTTTCTCTATCCAGTCTATTATTGATGGACATTTGGGTGGGTTCCAAGTCTTTGCTATTGTGGATAGTGCCACAATAAACATACATATGCATGTGTCTTTATAGTAGCATGACTTATAATCTTTTGGGTATATACCCAGTAATGAAATTGCTGGGTCAAATGGTATTTCTAGTTCTAGATCCTTGAGGAATCACCACACTGTCTTCCACAATGGTTGAACTAGTTTACAGTCCCACCAACAGTGTAAAAGCATTCCTATTTCTCCACATCCTCTCCAGCATTTGTTGTTTCCTGACTTTTTAATCATCACCAATCCAACTGGTGTGAGATGGTATCTCATTGTGGTTTTGATTTGCATTTCTCTAATGACCAGTGTTGATGAGAATTTTTTCATATGTTTGTTGGTTGCATAAATGTCTTCTTTTGAGAAGTGTCTTTTCATATCCTTTGCCCACTTTTTGATGGAGTTGTTTGTTTTTTCTTATAAATTTGTTTAAGTTCTTTGTAGATTCTAGATATTAGCCCTTTGACAGATTCATAGATTGCAAAAATTTTCTCCCATTCTGTAGGTTGCCTGTTCACTCTGATGATAGTTTCTTTTTCTGTGCAGAAGCTCTTTAGTTTAATTAGATCCCATTTGTCAATTTTGTCTTTTGTTGCCATTGCTTTTGGTGTTTTAGACATGAAATCTTTGCCCATGACTATGTCCTGAATCATATTGCCCAGGTTTTCTTCTAGGATTTGTATGGTCCTAGGTCTTTCGTTTAAGTCTTTGATCCATCTTGAGTTGATTTCAGTTGATTTTCTGTAGGGTATGAAATAATGGTCTAATTTAATTTTTCTGCATGTGGATATCCTGTTTTCACAACACCATTTAATGTAGAGACTGTCTTTTTCCCATGGTGTGTTCTTGGCATCTTTATTGACAATAGAGTTGGTTATGATTCCAAGGATTTATTTCTATGTTCTCTATCCTGTTTCATTAGTCTACTTGTTTGTTTTTGGGCTGGTACAAAGATCAGGATTAAGACAAGGATATCTACTCTTGCCACCCATTCAACATAGTACTATAAGTTCCAGCCAGAGGAATTAGACAAAAGGATAAAATAAGAGGCATTGAGATCAGAAAGGAATAAGTTAAATTGTGTCTGTTTACAGATGACGTGATCTTATATATAGAAAACTCTAAAGACTCTAACAAAAAACTATTCAAACTAATAACAAGTAATTTCAGGATACAAAATTGACATAAAAAATCAGTAGTGTTTCTATACACTAACAACAAAATATCTGACAAATCAAGAAAACAATCCCATTTACAAGAGCTACAAAAAATACCTAGGAATAAATTTAATGAAGAAGATGAAATATCTGTACATGGAAAACTATAAAACATTGATGAAAGAAATTGAAGAAGATATAAATAAATGGAAATATATACTGTGTTAATGGATTGGACGAATTAATATAACTAAAATGTCCATACCAACTAAAGTATTCTACACATCACAGTTAACATTCCAATAACATTTTTCACGGAAATAGAAAAAGTATTCCTAAAATTTGTATTGAATCCCAAGTGACTCCGAATAGCCAAGGCAAGCTTGAGCAAAAAAGAACAAAACTGGAAGCACACAATACCTGATTTCAAAATATACTTCAAAGCTATGGTAATCAAAACAGTATGGAACTGAGTTTTTGTTATTTTATGTTAATGTCTTTTGCACAATTGTGCTTTACAATCTTCAAGACATGTTATTTTGTTATGACTTTATTTAGTAGATTTTTCCCTTTCATTACAACCTTAAATACCTTGAAAAAGAAATATGAGATGTTCAGAGAAAAAGGGAAAGCTTTATTTTCTATAAAAGAATGCAGTCTTCAGATTGGGGAGGCACAGCCTCTAGTATAAGTGAAAATGTGCTCTCAGAAGACCATAGGGAGGGTCTGGCTCAAATAGGGAAAGTTCTCATCCTGGTTCTCCATCAAATCCTTTCATGTAAATGAAAATTTCAAACTTGTTCAGCTCCGATTGGTTGAAATCATTGACCAGATTGGAATTTCCACATTAGAAGCCAGAAGTCTGTCAGATGTTTCTTTCAAATGGCTGGTTGGGGCAGGGGTTTCTGGCCATAGTTTATCTTGGCAAGGAAACAGGAACTAGTTTGGCTTGATTTTAGAAAGGGAAGACCTGTGACATTTTTACAATATTTTTCTGAGGACACAGAGTGTGTGACCTCTCCCTCACCCAGCCATGGCCGCCTAATTCTGTTTTAGCTTTGACCACCTCAGTTAGCTATGGGGAGTCCATTTTGTCTATTGTCTGGGGGCATGTTTTAAGAGATAGATTTTTAATATCATATGTTGATTTTACTTCCTTGTGAACATCACTTATAGCTATGTTGCATAATGTTTGTTCTACATATTTTGTTGCCTCATCATTTCATTGTCTTTTTGCTTTGATTTCACTGTATCATAAGCTATTCTGTGTTTACAATTTAGTTTTCAGCCCTCCATTTGATTCCATGCTACCCTAGACATATTATTTTAGTTGTAAATGGTGTTTTTGTCCTTTATAAATACATTTATATATATTTCTGTAGTTCTCATGATCTCACTTTAACATTTTATCTACGATATTATGGTAGGTTACATTATTGACTTCAATTCTTCTCCTGTTTCTGTATCCAATTCCTTTGTCATATAGCTTTGCTGTTAATGTCACAGATGTACAGTGTAGCCTGAGCCCCTTAACATATTTTGGTCATGAGATTTGCTTTTCCCAATGGGATATTGGTAACCAGCTAGGGATTATTAGGCCCAGCTAGGGATAGAGATGTACTCACACATTATGGCTTGCTCTCTCGTGCTTCTGCCATTGCCATTACATAAGCATGCCCTGGCTAGCCTATTGGTTTGAGGGGTAGAAGAGATACAGGGAGTAAATAAGAACTGAACCTGTAGTCTAAAATCATATATCCAGTATCAGTTTATATCAGCAAAGGGACCCCAGATGACTTGCAAACACATGAGAAATACATGATTACTTCTTTTTGCCAATGAATGTATATTGTGTGTTTGTATGTGTGTGTTTGAGTCTTAGCAAACACTGACTCATATGATCCAATGATATACCTGTACTCAATAAGTTTACATTCTTATTGTTTCCAGCTACAGCACTGGGCATCTAGGTGTAAATTTAATACTCTGTATGATAATTTAATTCAAAAATTAATTCTCATTACTTGTACTTGCTATGCTTCTTTTCTCCTTTTTTTTGTTAAGTAGAATTTCCCTTTTAATGTTGCCATATTTTTTCCTTTATCTTCCTCCACGTTTTTCAAATAAGCAAATTACATCAAATAGTATTGTGTTTTCTGTGACTTTATTTGACTCCCTCCTCACTACTTTGGGAGCTGTTTATCTTCTCTATAGAAATATAACTTAAAGATTGATTTTGTGTTTTTAGTTGTATTTATTTTTAGGTGGCAGTGACTAATCTTGGTTGGTGAACCTAGGTATATTTTTCAAGCTCTTATTTTATTAAATGGACCATATATAAGGTTTACCCAACTGAATTAAAACTATCTTTTATTTTTATAGAGAAGTCCATTAGATTTTGGAACCTGGGAAAGTATCAACTTTGGATATTGTTTCTGAATTTTAAATATCTTCTTTCATCAGCTGTCATTTTCACTCATAAATTCAAAAGAAAAGCGTAAAATTAGGACCTATAGTTTTGGGTCCCTGTCTTTGTTTACTGCTACAGTAGAGAGGCCTGGGGGAAAGGCACCCTCACTGGGAATTCCAATGTATTTCTTGCTTCCTAAATTTCTACTTTCTTTTATTATGTTGTCTTTTATTCTTTTATTGGTTTATGTTGCTAAGGTTTTCTTCGTAGCTAGGGATAGTCTGATTTTTTTTGTTGGCCTTCATTACATTTATGATTGGCCAGAAGGCATTAGCTGAGCTCCATTAAATTAATTGGTGGAAAAACTTACTCTTTGAGATTTTTATTTATTTTCATGTTCAGCTGCTATCTTATCCTTCAGTGTGTTTCTGTACGAATATGAATATATTCACATCAATTTTCACGGTGTTTCTTTTTTTAAAATGTATACTTTTTGAGAGAGACATAGAGGAAAGTGAAGATAGAATTGTATGCCGACCCCAGTAGCAATCTCTTTCACTGCTAGGTTTAGAAATGTATTGTATAAAATTTTACGTCTTTGTTATTTTTGTTGTTGTTGTTGAAGATTTTCTAGGCTTTTCTTTATTTGTTTGCATTTACTCTCTGTAAAACAATATGCTGTTATTGGACTTTACTATCTTACCTTAAAATTCCATACATCGTCTTTTGCCTTTCAATTACTTTTGCAATCAAACTGGCATTTCCATCATATATTGATTCCCCAATTATTTTTAAAAAAGATTTATATGTTCAATCACCAACTTTTCTAATTATGGCTCTAGTATTAAATTTGTAACATGAAACTTTCAACTGCTGAGTTATTTCATATAATCATTAGTGTACCTCTTAATTTTGATTAGTCTTTTATTCCACATGATGTTTCTTCTTGTGTTATTTTTACTGACTGTGTTAATGGGTATTCCAGCTTTTGTAAGGAACCCTTGCTAAAATGATTTTTAAATAAATGACAAGCACTTTACTACATACATTTCAATTTCTTTTCTATGTTGGTGAGTCAGAATAGTACCATGTAATTTGCATTTCATTTTCTATCAGACTAAGTTATATGTCCTTTAAAATTCAAACTATATTTTATCCTCCCCATTTACTATTGTTTCTTTAATATTATAATGGTATGCATTCTTTGCTGAATTTTAGTTAAAACAGGTGGTTAATTTTTCAGACTGAAATCTCAGATCTCCAGAAGAGCACATTGGAAAGCTTCAGAAGCATGGTTAATTGAATAATTGAAGCAACTCTACAAATTGCTGAACCCCAGTATTTGCATATGTTGAAAATTCTCACTCAAAGGTGGGAACTGAACAGTGAGAACACATGGACACAGGAAGGGGAACATCACACTCTGGGTACTGTTGTGGGGTGGGGGGAGGGGGGAGGGATAGCATTAGGAGATATACCTAATGCTAAATGACAACTTAATGGGTGCAGCACACCAGCATGGCACATGTATACATATGTAACTAACCTGCACATTGTGCACATGTACCCTAAAACTTAAAGTATAATAATAATAAAATAAAAAAAAAAGAAAATTCTCACTAGTGCGTATTGCATGGAAAATGCAGGCTCTGCATAGATACAAAAGGAATTTCAAGTCCCTAATGTCCCTTTGATTCTCTATAGCAAGAACTAAAGTAAATTTGAAAATATTCTTTTTAAATTAATTGATTTGTTAATAAACATAAACTATCCTTTTCAAAACAATGGATAAATACGAATGATATATTGAAAGTCACAATCACACCAAATTATAATTCTTTTATTATAATCTTAGGCTTTTCTTACCTAGTAAACTATTCCAACTGATATTATTCCAGATGTGAAATTTATGTGCCAAAAATACACATTCCAAAAATGAAACTACAAAATAATTTTATACAGATAACAATGCCAACTGCATGTAAATGATACAGTTGATGACTCAATGTCCTGCACTGAAGCTAATTAAATTTAGATTAAGAGACAAAAAGTGTGATGCATTTTTAATATATGTATTTAATTTTTTTATGTTTTTATTATTTTATTTATTATTAACCTAAAGTCATACCCCAATTGATCAATATATGTGAAATATGACTGGAGATATGGAAAAAAAGAACATTTTTGTAGTGTTTCAAGAGTGACATGAATAAAGCTTCACATTTTCTAAAAGATAACAACATCTCAAGACCTTTAGATATTCAATGGAACCACATTTTTTCTTTCCTTTTTTAGAAATGTATAGCTAGTGGAGCAGTGAGGAAAATTTAAAAAAAAATTAACATATTGCATATAATTCAGTTGACGAGTTGTTTGTTTAGCTCCAAACTACTTTTCTCTACTTCACTTTAGTTTTTGTGGCTAGGACTAGGAAAACATTTCTGCTTTGTTAAGTAACATCCTATTAGGTAAGTTATTAGACAATAACCCTTACGTATATGTAATAATAAAAGACTTTTGTAAGCAAAATGAATGTTTCATGGTCTAACAAGCAGATCACTCCTGGCCCACTGGTGAGTCAGGGCTCTTATTTATAAAAACACTAGTCTGGGAAAGGAGAGAATAAAAATAAAGAGATGACACATAAACTGTATGAAATTATTTAAAAACACACAATGGGCTCACTGGTGGTAAGGGGATGAAACTATTTCATTAGATTACCTTCATCTTGCTCCTCCCCTTTTCCTTTTGACATAACCCTTCTTCCTAAACTTGACTCATATGTCTAGGGGTAAGTAAAAAAGCAGAGCTTGTATTTCGAGCAACTGTGAGATAGTAGAAGGAGACAAAGTTTATAAATGTGTAGAAAGAGAAAAGAGAGAGCAATCACATTCTTTTATTACCTTTGGAGGGAGGGTAGTTTCTGTTGTCAATGGTCATTATAGAGAGGCACATAGAGGTCAGAAATTAACTGAATATACCAAAGCCTGAAAATGCAGATGTAATGATATCTTATTTTCTAATAATTTATTTATTTTTCTTAGATTTTATGTTTTAATAAAATGAAAAAATATTTAAACACATACACAAACACAGAAAGTGCTGATGTAATTTTTTAGAAGCATTTAAACTACCCCTTGTTTACTGAAAATATTCTATAATAATTTGATTAGACTATATTGTTTATCAATTCATTTGCTTCTATAATATAACAAGCCTTCCAAAAGTCAAAATGTTAAATATATCACCCCTTGGTCTCAATGTGTCTCTTTTCTTTTCTTTAATATTTTTCTTGGCTCTTTTTTTCTCAAAGCCCCAGATTCACTTAAAAATTATCAAATAATTCTTGTACTTAGATTTATATACTTATTTTTATTTTATCTGTTGTTAGGAAAAAAGAAGAGGTTAAGGAAGGATGGGTTTAACAAAGTTAAAGCAGATATTTCTAATAAAACTAATTTTCCACCAGGTATTTATTGAGCAGCCCCTTTATTTCAGTTGCCATATTAAGATTGCCATGTAAAGATGAATTAGACATACTTCTACTGTCTCATAAGACAAAACGTAGATGAAAGTCAGCTGGTAGTTGACAAAGGCAATACAATAATATCATTGCTATGTCAAAGACACTTAATGATAATAGAGTAAAGGAAGTTACAAACTTGATATAAAACTTTCAAATTACTAACAACAAAAAGATCAGATGAAAATTAATTTACTAAGTTAAAATGATTAAGTAGTTAAGTAATTTAAATGATTAATAGAGGTTGTACAGCAAGTTTCCAAGGCCAAAATCATGGCTTGTCAACTCACAACCTCTAAAATATTGGGCAAATCACTTATCCTCTTTAAGCATATTTCTGTGGCTATAAATTCAAAGCAATTGTGGAAAAGTATACTTGCTATTTTTATAAATATCAATTATTTCTTGCCACAATTTTAAACTAAAATCTGGCAGCACAACTTTATATACATTCAGTAAAATGTTTAGTAAGTGTTCAACAAATGTCAGCAACAATTATTATTACTGTATTTCTTGATACTTTTTCAAGTTGTAATCCTGTAATTTGGTTTTCACATCACATCCTCCCTCTGGACTAGAAACCCCACAGTAGAAAACAAATATTTCTTTAAATTGACAACATAACAATCTAACAGTTTCTTAAACTAGTAAGTATCGTATAAATATTTGCTGAATGGTACTTGATATCAAAGAGATAACTTTGCACATTTTTAAACTACTGCATTTGTAATATTCTGTGCTTTCCTTCATTAAAATTGAAAGAAAAAAGATACATTGTTTTGGAGAATGACCTTTATAATTAGTGTGAAAGAAAAAAACACAAATTTGCATTCCCTGTCTGTTCTTGAGTTAGTAATCTGTGAAAGACTTTCATAGTATAAAAATGACATAACTAAAAGAATTTGCAATAAAAGGTTAGTGTTATGTAGAGTATGATGAAGCGGACATATCTCTTCGCTCTGAATTAGAATAAATTTAGATTTTTTAAAATCCCAATGACACAGTGAGACAGCAAGAGAATGAGATTCTATTTATTATATTTAACCTTTGGACTTTCACCTGTGGTGGGAAACTTAAATTTCCAAATCAGGACTACAGATTTGATCATTTACTCAGTGATGGAGATGAAGAAGAGAAGATCTTGTCTGTTATTTGATATAAGATGACCCTAGACATTGTTGTTAAGAGTTGGTAGTTGGAAACTCATTTAGAGGTTGATTTGTCAAATATTGTATTTTTTCATTTTGGGTGAAAATTAAAGGCACATGTTGACTTCCACTTACCCTATCACACACATATGTTCTTATTTACACTTACAGAGGCTATGTAGGTTTTTTCTTAACTTAGTGTGAAAAAAACTAAGTAAAATGTTCAAAGAGAAATTTGGAATAAACAGCTTTTTTGTTGTGATATAATAGTTATATAAAAATTAACTCTTGAGGCCAGGCATGGTGGCTCACCTGTAATCCTGCATTTTGGGAGGCCAAGATGGGTGGGTCACCTGAGCTCAGGAGTTCGAGACCAGCCTAGGTAATATGGTGAAACCCCGTCTCTTCAAAAACAGAAAAATTAGCTGGGCATGGTGACATGTGCCTGTGGTTCCAGCTACATGGGAGACACTGAGGTGGGAGGATCACTTGAGCCTGGGAGGCAAGGTCACAGTGAGCTGAGATCATGCCACTGCATTTCAGACTGGGTGACAGAGTGAGGCCCCATCTCAAAAAAAAAAAAAAAATGTAAGAAAGAAAGAAAGAAAAAGAAAAGAAAATTAACTGTTAACATATGACCTTCAGATACTGACCATTCTTACTACTTACAAGAGAGGCACATCTTTTTTTTTTAGCTTGGACACAGACACCTCAGCATACTAGGGGATTAAAAATATTAGGAACAGTCAGATCTACTTCCCATGAGAGGGAAAATAATACATGGTAGTATTGAGACTGTCAGATACCATACAGATTCATTTCCTAAGGATATTCCATAACACATTTGACAACCTAAAATAGAAAACAAATATAGATTTCAATTATCTGACTGCTGCTGCAAAGATGAAATATTCTCTTATGCCACCAGTGTTTACTTAGCTATTATGATTGCCAGGCACTATGCTACTTTCGGGCTAAGTAATGAACAATGAGAAGAGCATGGTCCCGACATTATGGAGCTAACAGTATGTTTTAGAGTTGACAGACAAGTCATTAATTATACTCTGTTACACTACTAGTTAAAGGAGAGGGACTACAGTTTGCTAGGGTAACACATAGGGGCTACAGGCTATGAAAGACAGGGGCACAGTATATTCCAAACAAGACTCATAAGGAATGAGAAAACATGAGAGCAAGCGTGAAGCATTTAAAGATCTGAAGAATACAAAATAATTCTATTTTGTAGTCGGAGATAGTGATTAGAGGTAAACTGGAAACATAAGTGTAGAGAAAACCTTACAAACTATCTATGATCTATGGCTATGATCTATGGCTTTTATCTTAAACATAGTAGGGAGTCATGGAAAGATTTTGTGGAGCAGAACAATACGGTTACATTTGCATTTAAAAAGATCATCCTGATCTCCCTGTGAAGTGTGGATTAGTTGTAAGTAAGACTAGAGACAGTGGGATTATTTAGAAAGTTGTTGAGTTAATCTAGGGAATTAAATGTGTATCCTATGTTGTTAGAAAATATATGTGGGAGTTGAAAAAATGGGGCTCTGTAATTTATTGATATGAATTGTGGTGGAAAGAGCTGGTGTGAATGATGAGGATAGAAAGATGGTATTCAATAATAGGAGCATTTTTGTAAAAGGAGAAGTTGTATTCATTTTTGGAATCATAGTTCATGTAGTTTGTAAAACAAATAGCTGGACATGGCAAACCATTCCTAGATGTATGGATTTGAACATCAGCACTAATGTTATAGCTGTTTGATTTGAAGTCATCAAATGATTATTGAAGTCACTATGGTAATGAATGACTGCATCTAGGAAATGTAAAATGAAAATAGTCCATAGAAAGAACTGTGAACAATATTTAACACACATGTTCAAGAAGTGGAGCCCCCCAAAAAAGACATTAAAAAAGAAGAAACCAAAAAAACGTGAATTGACAACCAGAATTACAGAATGAGTTATGCCAGTGAAGAAGAAAGTTTGACGAAGAAATGATAAAAATTCTTAGATGCTAGCACAATCAAGGAAGGGTATCACTGAGAACACTTTATTGATTGTAGTAATGAAGAAGCCACTGATGCTTTCTGAGCAATTTGAGTTTAGTGCTGTAAATCACATTCTAATAGTTTAAGCGTGAATGAGCGGTGAAGACATGCAGAGAGCAAATACATGCTATTCTTTCATGATGACGGTGAAGAAGAGGAGCTAGCTAGTTAATGGAGTAGTTGAGAACAGTAGGGTGTTCAAAGACTTCCTTTATGGTGAGAGAGGCTCAAGTGTATTTAAAGAATCACAGGAGTGATTTTCCAGAGAGGGAAAGATGAATAGTGTACAGAAAAGTGAGTGAGGGTCCAGAGAAGACTCTTGTCTGTGGATGAGACACAGAAGCACAAGTGGAGACCATTGCTTTCAACAGGTCTAAGAAACTATTCTGTTGCAACCAAAAGAAACAAGAAAATAAAAAATGGTTGTGTAGATATGTTTGCAGATTGAAAATAAATTTGAGGAAGTTATCATTCAGTGATTTTGTTATTCTGTAAAGTTAGAGAAAAGATAGCTTTATGAAATTGTTTGCATCTATATTTTAACTTACCTATTCTTTCTCAAATATAAACATAATTTATGAGACACTGTAAGTTACAGTCCTTTTTGCTTCTTTATTTAGCTTTGATCTCTGTATACTTGAGAGAGCATGAAAAATGAAAAACCGCTAGGCAAACATGCAGGTGAATGAAGTCTAGCCTAGAGCTCTCTAAGGCACTAACTTTCTTACTATAAACAAAACCTTAAAATTTCTGAGCCTCTTTTATTATTTGTAAAATGAAGTACTGGAGATAATGTTCTATATATGGTGCTCTTTAGCACAATGTATTTTTGACCTCATTTCACTTTTAATCTTAGAATCCAGTAGGTCAAACTTGTCAACTAAAATACCTACAGTTTCACTTGTGATGGTAGTAATACATACAAATTGTTGTTCTGATTAGCCACTTATTTCCATGTGAAGAATTCTTGTTGATAGAAGTTAATATCTATCATCTGTCGGGGTTTTTATAGCATATTGAAAGTTAAATAAAATGTAGAAAAACACAAAGCTTTTCCTCAAGTTTAATGATAAGTTGTTGAAAAACACTTCAATAACAATGACCACAGCAAGAATCATGTTATTTCTCCTGTTATTGTAATTGTGAACTACAACTGTAAGCTGTATAAATGGCAAAGTCAAGATGTGGAAAAGAGCACAAGACTTCTCACTGACATCAAAGCATATGATACACAATTCAAAGAAAATTATTTATTTCACTGCATCTCATTCAATGCATGCAGATATCATGATATATATTTCCATAATTGAGAGAATAAAAATAAATTTTAAACATAAAAGATAAAGATTTACATGTTAGAGTGAAAAATTAGTTTCTCACTTCAACTTATTGTTAAGAAAAGATATTTTTTCAATTTATTTAATCTTAAAATGTGAGAAAGGCCTCATGCCCAGTGTGCACTCAGGAAAAAATGAAACAAAATCAAAGAATAGAAAATAGGATGTAACAAGAAACTTTTTTTCTTTTGATTCTTTTCATGTCAAAGGGCCAGAAAGCTAGAAAGTTATTGTTTGAAAATATATTTTGTAGTAGGAAATATCGTAGCTTGTTATAAAGTGTAAGTCTTATATTAGTAAGAGTTCCACAACAATTGTATGGCAAATCCTCTTGATAATGAGATTCTCACTTTCTATTTCTATACAAACAATTCTGGGATCATCTCTAAATGTACTTGTCTCTGAGAATGTTTTTGAAGACAAAAAATATGAGACAAGTGTATGAGCAGAAAATAAAAAACAATGTAAACTTTAGTTGATTTATTAATTTCTATTTTTTTTACATGATTTGAGATGGCCAGGTCTACTTCTATATTACTAGACAAGTGTATTTCCTCTAGTACTTTTTTTTCTTTTTACATCAGAAGGATAATATGCCGATGTCATAAAATGTTTGAGGGAGATACATCTCACACACAAATGTGAAAACCTAATCATCACACTTATGAACTACAAAAGGATCCTCCTCCAGTCCTTTAGTCATGGTTATTTATACATCTTTTTCATTAATTTAGAAGTGACCATCACATTGTAAATTTAAATCTCAATGGAGTGAGGAAAGAAAGAACAGGTTAACTTTAAATAAGACAGAAAAGAAACACCAAGAACCTAACCATGTCAGTCCTGGCTCCTGCCTGCTCACATCTGCATAGGCAACTATCACAGGTCCATTGTCTGAGCACATGCTAGCTTCACCCAACATGAAGCAACCTAAACCCCAACTGCCCTAAGTAATTTTCTTGGAATTTCTCCATTTCCCTTGTGTTATGTTGATAACTTATGACCCTGCAGATTTTTTCTCACTCTTCTTATGTAGACTAAGGGTCTGTGTTAGTCTGGGAGGGAAGGGAACTGTTAGGACAATGTTTTGAAGTGGCACAACTGTTTCAAATGCTTCTTTAACAATGTCCAGGAAAACTGATTATTTATGATATCTCTCTTTTTCTTTAGTCCTAGAATCTAGACAGAAATTTCTTGATAATAGAAAGAGTCCTCAATATTGTTTTATATAAAAAGCACATATCCATGAAAATCAAATGTTACTAATTTCATACTAAAGATGAGAAACAAAAATATTCAAATTCCTATCGTATGCAATTACAGATTCTTGGTAGAATACTCAGTGTGTCATGAATATTCTAGAAAATATAGAAAATATCTCATTTATTAATGAAAAGATGTAGAAAGCATTTTATTTTTTAGTTTATTTACAATGCTATTCCCAGAAATAACAGTCAAATAACACTCACCAGATTTTTGTTAACCTCTGCGTTATCGATTGAACGTTTACTTCCCTGCAAAACTCATATGTTGAAATTCTTACCCCAAGTTTCATGGTTTTGAGAGATAGACACTTACAGATGTAAATTTAGGTCATGAGGGTGGGGTCTTCATGAATGGGATTAATGCTGGTATAAAAGAGACCCCAGAAAGCTTTCTTACTCTCTTTCCAGCCTGTGAGAATACAATGAAAGGACAGCAGGCTGTAAGCTGAAAGAGGGTTCTCAACAGAACCTGACTATGCTAGCACCGTGATCTTTGGCTTCTAGCTTCCAGAGCTATGAGAAATCAATTAATATTGTTAATAAGCTACTCACTCTATGGTAATTTGTTATAGCAGCCCAAACTAAGACACTTTGCAAGCAATTTTTGTACTTCCTATTTGCTTCCATTCCCTGTCTCTATTACACATGTGCATACATTTGCTCCCAATTTAATTTAATACATTATTTTGTAATTATTGTTGCAGTTCCTTCTCAATTAATAAAGTGCACTACACTCCATATTTTTAATGATATAAATAAAAAGCAGCATCTATATTCTAATAAATAATCATTTAAAATATTCAAAAGAATACCTATTTAAAATCAGATTCTTAATATTTGACACTAAAACATACAATCATGTTAAACAAATATATTTTCAACAGAAAAAAGTTAACAAATAAATATAAAAACTATAATCTTTATATTTCTAAATCAGTAACAAAATTGGAAATAAGGCACAATATAATATGCACCTGAATACATAAAGACATACTTGCAATGTAAGTAAGTTTTTGTATTTAATCCTGACTTTAAAACAAAGCACCAATAGATATAGATATGTTTTCATTGCTATTCTTGATTTTGTGAACTTGTTTACTTTGCGGAGGATTCTTTCAGCAGTTAGTAATGTAGTCCTCTTGAGAAATGCTCTAGATAGGTTGCCTTAGGAAGTACTTAGTTTTATTGAATAATATGTCAGTGCCAGATATCTCTTATAAGAAACTTGATTTCTCTGGGAAATGTGTTCATTTGTGTGGCTTTTAGATAAATCAGTTTGGAAAATGGTCAGGAGGCATTTCAGCTCTTTTTCATTGCTTTTGTAAAAAGTAATATGGGCACTGTCACAATTTTACTGGGAACTCTAGATGAATTAGAGTTGTGAAGGTTACTGAAAACAAACTCTAAATTCCTTATAAACTATAGGAAGAAACACTGAAAACCAATAAAATATTCAGCAAATATAAAATAATAATTTCTAAAATAAACTAATACAACAGGAGAGTGACTAGAACTAAAATGCAGGTTTTGAGTACCAATAAAGTGTTTCAATAATCTAGAAAGATACTTATCTAACATCCATTCTCAGCTACATCCTCCCCAACAAAGTCAGAAACAAATACCCCAGCCCATCTCTCTGGGAGTTAAAATGAGAGGACAGGTGACTTTATAAACACTTAACACAACACTTGAAATCTACCTCAAATGAAACTATAGACAACATATACTCAACGAAATGGGATTAGTATCAGATTAAAAATAATCATACAGTTAATAATAAAAATAACAATACATAATTACGTATAGAATATTGAGAATATTAGTGATATATAAATTCCAGCTTTGCCAAAGTAAATTGTTAGAAGACAGAAAGGGGAAAATTGTAATAATATAAAAGAATCATCTAGAAAAATTTATCTATAGATAATAAGCATTCCTAAGTAGAGAACAGAAAGAAACCTCACAGTAGCTAAAAGCAGTAGTACAGACACTGGAAAAAAATATAGTAAAACAGGATCAAATTTCACTGAATGAAGTTTATAATTCAGATGTAAAATATCATAATCTCTTTAATTCCAGGCTAGCAATGTTTCTGCCAATGCAACATTTTCAAAAACCTTATTGGTCGCCTGTGCAATTCATGGGGGTCCAAGCCATTAGACAAGAGGTTCCTCCAAAGACATTTTTTGGATAACTCATCTTTATTCTTGGCTTCTGCTGAGATAGTTGATTGAATCCATGAGTCACACACATAATCTTTTTAGCAAAAGTTGTCTAGCTATACCCTTGGCATTCTTCTAACCACATGCTTGCTCATCTTGGTTATCTGGAGAGGTTGAGAATTTTCCAAATTATCAAGTTTTAGTTCTTTTTTATTAAAATGTCCTTTCTCTGTTTCTTTCTTTTTTCTTTTCTTTTTTTCTTTTCTTTTCTCCTTCCTTCCCTCCTTCCTTCCTTTCTCTTTCTTTCTTCCTCTCTCTCTATTTTTTTTTTTTTTTACATTTTACTATAAGCTGTAAGGAGGAAGTAAGGTCATACCTTCCACAATTTGCCTGAAAATCTCCTCAGCTCAGTATCCATGTTTATTTCTGACAGGATCTACTTTCCATCAAATGGTAGAACACAGTTGAGGCAAGTTTCCTGCCACTTCATGATAAGGATCTTCTTCCTTTCATCATCCAGTTCTATGTGCCTCATTTCCATGTGAGCTTTCACTAGAAGCACATGTAACACTCATATTTCTCTTTCTTTTTTTTTTTTTTTTTTGAGACGGAGTCTCACTCTGTGCCCCAGGCTGGAGTGCAGTGACTCGATCTCGGCTCACTGCAAGCTCCACCTCCCGAGTTCACGCCATTCTCCTGCCTCAGCCTCCCGAGTAGCTTGGACTACAGGTGCCTGCCACCATGCCCGGCTAATTTTCTGTATTTTTAGTAGAGACGGGTTTCACCGTGTTAGCCAGGATGGTCTCGATCTCCTGACCTCGTGATCTGCCCGCCTCGCCTCCCAAAGTGCTGGGATTGCAGGCGTGAGCCACCGTGCCTGACCAACATTCATGTTTCTTAGCAATTCCTTATTCGTGACAATACATGTAACTTTATAATGATGAAAGCATTATGTACAGTTATTACTTATTTGAGCTCTCACAATTGCCTTTAACAATCTATATTTATACCAATAATCTCAGAAATCTAGTATTTTCTATTTTGTGTCTCAGAAATACTTAGCTTCTGTTCATTACATAATTCCAAAGCCATTTCTAAATTTTTAATATTTGTTAAAGCATCTCCCCACTTCCTGGTACCAAAATTGGTGTCAGTCAGGGTTTTCTAAGGAAACAGAATATATATAAATATGTATTATTTATTTCAAAGAATTCACCTATATAATTTTGGGAGTCAGCAAGTCTCGAATCTGAAAGGCATGCTGGTAATTTGCAGGCAAAAGCTAATGTTGCAGTCTTTTTTCCTTAAACTTTTAGTTTCAGGGGTATATGTGCAGCTTTGTTATATAGGTAAATTGCATGTCACAGGGGTTTAGTGTACAGGTTATTTTGTCACCCAGGTAATAAGCATAGTATACAAAAGGTAGTTTTTCAATCCTCACCTTCCTCCCACCCTCCATCCTCTAGTAGGTCCCCTTGTCTATTATTCCCTTGTGTGTGTTCATGTATACTCAATATTTTAGCTCCCACTTACAAGTGAGAACATGCTATATTTGGTATTCTCTTCCTGAGATATTTTCCTTAGGATAATGATCTCCAGATAATGTTGCTGCAAAGGACATGATCTCATTCTTTTCACGGCTATGTAGTATTCCATGGTGTATATGTACACATTTTCTTTATCCAATCTACCATCGATGGGTATCTAGGTTGATTCCATGTCTTCGCTTGTGAATAGTTCTGCAGTAAACATACATGTGCATATATCTTTATGGTAAAATGATTTATATTCCTTTCGGTATATATCCAATAATGGGATTGTTTGGTCGAATGGTAGTTCTGTTTATCACCACACTGCTTTCCACAACGGCTGAACTAATTTACATTCTCACCAGAAGTGTATAAGTGTTTCCTTTTCTTCACAAATTTGCCAGCATCTGTTTTTTTTTACTTTTTTATTAATAGCCATTCTTATTAATATGTTGCAGTCTTGAGGCAGTATTTCCTTTTCAAAACTCTGATAAACTTCAGTTTTGCTCTAAGGCCTTTCAAGTGATTAAAAAACATCCACCAACGTTATGAAGGTACTCTCCTTTACTTTTAAGGTCAACTGATTATAAATGTTTACCACATCTACAGAATACCTTCACAGCAACACCAAGATCCATGTTTGATCAAATTACTGGGTAATATATCCTGGCCAAGTTTATACATAAAACTGTCATATTTGCCTTATAGGCTTTCTTAAATTTACTTTATTGAAAGTTGTAATAAGGAATCTCAGATTAGGCTTTGAAAAGCCTCTTGAAGCTAGAAAGACAAGCCAAAAATTTACCAGAAGATAATGCATATAGTTGCTATAAATGTGGGAAAATTCCTTTCTTTCTGAAGTTCCCAAAATATCACAAGGTTACTAGACCTTCCAGGAATTATTTTCGTAATGCATCCCTAAGACTTGATAGACTATAAGCCAGGTACCAGGGAAGTTATCCCAAGAGAGTTTTGTAAGCATTGCCTCCATAAAATTGGCCTTAGTTCCTTAGAAGTGTGTTGTAATATCAAAATAAATGAACATCATTCTCAAATATGATATTTTAGGCAAGGCCTTGGCTGTAAAACCAAAGTTATCAAGTATGTCTTTGTATTAAGGTGGATAGATTCGAATTAAAGCTACGCGAATAACTATATTGCCCTGACAACAAGAATATTCAATAAGAACTTCTAAATTCTGGAGGGCTTAGTAGGAGAAAAGATTGTCATTATTAAATATTTTGTCTTCAGCTTACAAAAGCATACTCCACTAAATTATTATAAGTTATATTTACTTATAAAAAAGATGAAATGTTTGATAACATACTCAGAAAATAGTATCTTAAAACAGCAGCAATATTCCAAACAATACCCGTGATCATCTTTTATCAGTTAATTCTGTCCTATGTAATTAATTTTTGTTCCAACTGATATTGAGTTAACATTCTGATGAATCCATTTTTTTCTCTACTAGAAATGTAAAAATCCTGATTTAGTTCACTGGTGTAGTCTCAAAATTGCTTAAATAATACCATCATAGGCCTGTACCCCCAAATACCTGATATAGTGCTTTTCTACATGTCTCTGAGATAGTCCTTGTCTGTTGCAGATAAAGCACTCTCAAATGTAACTGATGCAGAGCTTTTAGGGAAGCATCATAATGAAACAAAAAAGTCGATTACAAAAATCATGAAATGGCTGTAGTTAAATTGGTAATTTTTTTTTTTTTTTTGAGATGGAGTCTCGCTCTGTCACCCAGGCTGGAATGTCCTGGCCTGATCTGGGTTCACTGCAACCTCTGCCTCCAAGGTTCAAGCAATTCTCCTGCCTCAGCTTCCAGATTAGCTGGGGCTAGAGGCATGTGCCACCATACCCAGCTAATTTTTGTATTTTCAGTAGAGACAAGATTTCACCATGTTGGCCAGGCTGGTGTCAAACTCCCTACCTCAAGTGATCTGCTCGCCTTGGCCTCCCAAACTACGGAGATTACAGGCATGATCCACTGTGCCCAGCCCAAAATTAGTAATTTTCTATAGCAAAAGATGCAATGAGAGCTTATTATGAGAATAACGTAACTGACAACAAAGTTTTAGATAAAAATCTATAAATAATAATGTATTCCATTTTCAAAGAAGAGTAGATATAAGTGGCTTATAAAATAAACATAATTTACAGAAAAAACTGCATATAATAATCCTGATATAATATTTCATAAATACATTAGGCATATTTTTAGAATATACTAAGAAAGTATCAATGTTATATAGCAAAGAGATTCAGTAAGTCTGGAACAAGCCTAAACATCTTTATAATAACAAAACTCCATAGGTTAGGAGTGTGACTCCTACCTTGAAAATTACTGGCAAAGAAGATGCTAGATTCACATTAAAGAAGTAAAGTTGCAACCAAGTTAACATTTTAAATATAATTGCAATTATGACTGATATACTATCTGTGTTGTCTAAGCAGATAGAATCATATCACAAACAACAAAGGCACTGATAAATTTTCAGGACTTTTCATGTGCCATAAAATTTTCTAAAATATTCATATAAATAAGTTTGTACCTATACTAATATACCCATGGGAAGGCTGAGTATCTCTTTTTATTTGACCACCCTTGCTATGTAACTTATGAATAGTAACATATCAAGTAAGTTAGGTTATTTCTTGCACATTTCTTTTTAAAAGATGAAAAAAATAAATCCTTTGTGATTTTCCATGGGCCCTCTGGGAAACTTGAAAGACAATTATATGTGCAAAAGATATCAGTTAACATTTGTTTTTGAGAAGGCAAAGTATCAAAAGTTTTGAGAATAGTTGAACATTCAGTTGAGGTATGATTATAGGTTACTGAGAAACAATGCATGGCTGTCTAGTTAAACAATTGACAATGTTGGTACAAAAACAGAGATATACATCAATGGAACAGGACAGAGCCCTCAGAACTAACACCACACATCTACAACCATCTGATCTTTGACAAACCTGAGAAAAACAAGCTATGGGGAAAGGATTCCCTATTTAATAAATGGTGCTGGGAAAACTGGCTAGCCATATGTAGAAAGCTGAAACTGGATCCCTTCCTTACACCTTATACAAAAATTAATTCAAGATGGATTAAAGACTTAAATGTTAGACCTAAAACCATAAAATCCCTAGAAGAAAACCTAGGCAATACCATTCAGGACACAGGCATGGGCAAGGACTTCATGACTAAAACACCAAAAGCAATGGTAACAAAAGTCAAAATTGACAAATGGGATCTAATGAAACTAAAGAGCTTCTGCACAGCAAAAGAAACTACCATCAGTGTGAACAGGCAACCTACAGAATGGGAGAAAATTTTTGCAATCTACCCATCTGACAAAGGGCTAATATCCAGAATCTACAAAGAACTCAAACAAATTTACAAGAAAAAAAACAAACAACCCCATCAAAAAGTGGGCAAAGGATATGAACAGACACTTCTCAAAAGAAGACATTTATGCAACCAACATATACATGAAAAAATGCTCATCGTCACTGGCCATCAGAGAAATGCAAATCAAAACCACAATGAGATGCCATCTCACACCAGTTAGAATGGTGATCATTAAAAAGTCAGGAAACAACAGGTACTGGAGAGGACATGGAGAAATAGGAACACTTTTATACTGTTGGTGGGAGTGTAAACTAGTTCAACCATTGTGGAAGACAGTGTGGCGATTCCTCAAGGATCTAGAGCTAGAAAACCATTTGACCCAGCAATCCCATTACTGGGTATCTACCCAAAGGATTATAAATCACGCTACTATAAAGACACACACATACATATGTTTATTGTGGCACTATTCACAATAACAAAGACTTGGAACCAATGCAAATGTCCATCAATGATAGACTGGATTAAGAAAATGTGGCACATATATACCATGGAATACTATGCAGTCATAAAAAGGGATGAGTTCATGTCCTTTGTAGGGACATGGATGAAGCTGGAAATCATCATTCTGAGCAAACTATCACAAGGACAGAAAACCAAAGACTGCATGTTCTCACTCATAGGTGGGAATTGAACAATGAGAACACTTGGACACAGGGTGGGGAACATCACACACCGGGGCCTGTTGTGGGGTAGGGGGCTGGGGGAGGGATAGCATTAGGAGATATACCTAATGTAAATGACGAGTTAATGGGTGCAGCAAACCAACATGGCACATCTATACATATGTAACAAACCTGCATGTTGTGCACATCTACCCTAGAACTTAAAAAGTATAATAAAAAAAATAAAGTAAATATGGAAGTTACCATGATTATGAAAAACCTTGACTCTTTTCTAAGTAAAAACACTGTAGTTTTCTTAAATAATCATGGACATAATAAAGCCAACATAAAACAAGGAAAATTATTTTGGTAAAACACAAACTGCTATCCAGGCAGACTGCACACAGTTTAAAAAATAACTTTTTTTTTTTTTTTTTTTTTTTTTAGACAGAGTCTCACTCTGTCACCCAGGCTGGAGTGCAGTGGTTCAATCTCGGCTCGCTGCAACCTCCAACTCCCGGGTTCAAGCAGTTCTCCCACCTCAGCCTCCCGAGTAGCTGGGATTACAGGCACGTGCCATCATGTCTGGTTAATTTTTTTTCTTTTAATTTTTGTACAGAAAGGATTTCACTGTGTTGGCCAGACTCGTCTCGAACTCCTGACCTCAGGTGATACACCTGCCTCGGACTCCCAAAGTGTTGGAATTACAGGCGTGCGGCACTGTGCCCAGCCAAAAAAAAAAAGAAAAAGTTTTTACAGTCACTTATTGACAGCACAACAATTATACAAAAACATTTGCCATTTTAATAGACAGAAAACCAAATTCTACCTTTTTGTGAGTTTAGTATCTCATACTGAAGCTCTTTTTGAAAATCTTATAAAAATCCCATCAGACCTTAGTCTTCATGAAGGCAAATTCCCTTTCCCTGACACTTTTACAGCTTTTTATATATCTATACATTTCCCTTGCAGTGAAAGTTCTTAAAGTGGACAAAATTAACACATTTGTTAACAAATTCAAATGTATAAAGTTCCTAATTTGCATTAAAAAACAACAAAAAAGTACACCTTAAAATTATGCTTAGTAGTTAATATTTCAGCATTCTTTTACTTAGAAATAACACACGCTATCTATTTAAGATCCATACATTAACTCAATATAGTAACAGTCCAAGATTTTAAAAACATAAAGGTCTTAGAATTTGCTAACATGCAAATCGTATTATTGTTGAAGCAACCCAAGTGTTCATGGACAAATGAATGGATAAATAAAATGTAGTACATACATACAATGGAATGTTATTTAGCTTTTAAAAGGAAGAAAATTCTTACACTTGCTATATAACATGAATGAAACGTGAGGACACTGTGTTAAGATACATAAGCCAGTCACAAAAGGACAAATACTGCATGATTACACTGATACGAGGACCTTAGAGTAGTCAAATTCATAGAGCTAAAAAGTAGAATGGTACTTAGAATAGGCTAGGAAGAAAAGTGAATAAAGAGTTACTATTTAAGGAAGTACAGTTTCAGTTTCTCAAGATGGAAAGAGCTCTTGAGATGAATGGTAGGGATAGTTGTATAACAATGTGAATGTATTTAATGCCACTGAACTGTAAAAATGATTAACATGCTAAATTTTCAAATGTGTTTATTTTACCACTATTAAAAATGATTATAGCTATTATAAAAATATAAATATTATTTAAATAAAATATATTAAAATAATGATTCAATTTGGTTAAACACAGATTTACACTTCTAATATTGTAGTAGCCTTATCGTCTGAGGTCATACCTGGAGTTTTTTGTCTCACAACCAAGAAAATTAAGGCATGTGGACACAAAGAGTGAGGTTAGAACAAAAGTTTAATAAGCAAAAGAGGAAAGATCCTCACAGTGGAGAGGGGGCCTGAAAGATGGCTGCCAGCTATGAAGCTGAGTCTGAGGGTTTTTATGAACTGGAGGGAGATGAGTGTGCTGACTGGTCTGTAGGCCATCTTGGAGAAAGCACCACTTAGAAAGAGGTATGATAGTGCAAAGAACCAATTAGAGGCAGAGGTGAAGGCTTGGTCCGAGACCTTGGCATAAGACCAATCAGGGGCTGAAGTGATGATTTATCCTAAGTAAATGAAGACTCAGCCTATGGCCAATCACAGAAAGGTAGGCGTATATAATGTAGGTGAAAAGTAAGAGACTAAGGCGTGACAAGGAGAGAGAAATATGACCAAAAAAGGAGTGGAATTTGTTCATCTGGGTTCACACAGTAGCTGTTTCCATTCAAGGACACAGAATATTTCTTATCTAGGGCCTGCAGTTTGATTTTCAGCTTGTTCTTTGTTTGAAGGAGTTTTACCAAGGACCCACCTTAACTGCCTGCCTGACCAGTTTCTTACCTTCTCTTCTCTCAATACTCGAGTGCTCTGCTCTTGACTTAAAGGAAGAAACTGAGACATAAAATATAATTTTTAAAGAGTTTACATCTCCAGCAGGAGATGACCCCTTAACTTTGAGCTGTGGAGTCAACAAAATGCGTGATTTCAGAAACTTAATTCCCTTTCCTAATGTGAACACAACCTGAGTTTTAAGAGTGTTTCTAGTTTCTGCTGTGAAATGAGATCAGTGTCTTCCTCCAACCTGGTTCCTCTTCAGCATTCATATTTGGTGGAGCATCAGTCCTTCTCCTGGAATGACTGGGAATGGGGGTTTAAGTTTTGCAATTGTAGCTCTATCACTTGCCAAACCAATGATCTTCAGCCTGATTTGCCCCCTTAGCATTCATCAAGGTTTACTGCTTCAAGTACTCATTTCTAGCTCATTTTCATGAAGCAAGGTTAATTTCTCAAATGATCTTGTTCTTCCGAAGGCTTACTTTTTGTAGGCTGATACTTTTTTGAGGCTAGGCTACTGTGATTATCGCACAGCCCCCATAGAAAACACGCTCAAATGCTACTGAAAATATGTCTATGGAGGATAATAAACAAACAAAAGGATGATAAAATATGCCCATGAAAGATCTCTTGAGGGCTGGGGCAACGACTATGCTAAGGGTTGGGGGTGGAGGAGAAAGATTTAAGAAACAGAGCCAAACTGGATAAAGGAAGTGTAATTCACTGCCAAGTCTGAGAAACCACACAATGCTTGTCCCACAATATTCTAATATCCTTAGAATTCTATCACTCAATGAACCAGCAGTGACTGGGCTTGCTTACTTTTTTAAACAAATTATTTTATTTTATTTTATTTTATTTAAGTTCTGGGATACTATGGGCAGGACATGCAGGTTTCTTACATTGGTAAACTTGTGCCATGGTGGTTTGCCACACCTATCAATCCACCACCTAGGTACTAAGCCCAGCATGCATTAGGTATTTATCCTGATGCTCTCTCTCCCTGCCTCTGCACTCCCCAAGGGGTCCCAGTGTGTGTTGTTCTCCTCCCTGTGTCCATGTGTTCTCATTGTTTGGCTCCCACTTATAAGTGATAACATTGTTTTTCTGTTCTTATGTTAGCTTGCTGAGGATAATGGCTTCCAGCTTCATCTATGTCTCTGCAAATGACACGATCTTGTTCCTTTTCTCCATGGTATATATGTACCATATTTTCTTTATTCAGTCTATCATCGATGCGCATTTGGGTTGGCTTGCTTACTTTTTACAAGTGAGAGATTTCGTGGAGAATATTTTTCCCCTGGTTCAACTTTGTATATTGTGTAATGTGTACAACTAATCCCTTTATTTTATCGTTTTTCACACAAGAACAATCATATTTATACTTGATGGAGGGGACTGCAGATCACTGGAAGCTTCTGGACCTTAACTTTGATGCAGTGCCTGTACGGTGCTTTGGGTCATCTCTCTTAGGGCAAGTGATAGGATTTCACTTGTGGGAAGCAGAGTCACTTTATTCATTAGGTAAAGTAGTTATGAGGCCTAGGGCCCACAATACTTTTAGGGTCCCACACAAATGTTTTTATGTTAACATCCAAAGAGGAAATAGATTCTTAGGTCAAATTTTATTATATGTTATTAACATATTTACCTTCCTACCAATGCAGTTATAAAATATATTTTTTAACAGTTTGCATAAAGGAAGCATCCCCTGAAGGTAAAATTTTCTAAATGTTAATGAAAACTTAGTTTTTACAAAAGTAACAAACATTATAATATGGCCTTGGTAGGAATAAGAGTGTAATGTACATTTGACAAAACAAAACAAAACATAGTAGTAGAGACAATGCTATATGTTCATTAAACCCTTACTTATTTTATGTTTTTCTTCAAGGACAAATAGCTAAACCATACTGGTCAGCTTTATTGCATCCAAGTGCTGCTATGTGATTACTGCTCCCAATGAAAAGTGGGAGAAAGTGGATTGTCATGTTCAGGTGAAGATAATGAAGAGAGTTAAAAGTACCTACGTCTTCTCCACTCTCTCTTTCCTTCCCCATTTACCACCTCAGTGATGCAGATGCCCCTGGAGCCTTCTGTGGAAGGAACCTGAGTCTTCAAATGAATGCAAACGTCAAAGATCTCCGAGCCACACTGCACTTTGAGGTGAGCAAAAAACAATGTTTTATTGTGCTAATCCACAAGATCGTGGGCTATGTGTTACAGTAGCCAGGTTATGCACCTTCAATAATATCAGGGTAATTTGAATACATCTGAATACTCTTTCAGCTAATCTTCTCAAATAATAGAAACTATCTTTATTCATGATACATTTCATGATAAATATACATTCATGTTCGAGTCCTAAGCCCACTACAAGAAAATATTTATATATTTACAAAGGTGGAAAAGCCATATTTTTTCTAACAAGCACATGAATTAACTTTTCAGTCCCACCCCTTAAATTATCTCAGACACACACACACACACACACACACACACACACACACACACACACCCCTAAAGAAATTCCCTCTATTGTATATATTTATGAAGAGAGAACTTTTTTTATTTTAATCATTTATTCCAAAGTCTCCCACACAGGTTATCACACACACACAAACCCCACCCTTAATTTTTGTTGTGAGTTTAATTTACACATGTTTTAATTTCCTATGTTGTGAGCTTTAGAGTCTCACTTTCCTCTTTTTAAAAGTAATATTATTTATGATGATTATAATATATTTATTAAGTCAAAATAACTATAGGTAAAAATATTTTGTAAATTGTAAAACACTGAAATAATGTAATTGATGTCTATTACGTTGAAGAAAAAGGACAGGAAAATCTTGCATCCTATTAAAAAAGGAAGACCAATCTCTAACAGGGGTCAATTTAAAATATATTTTGAAGGTTTCTAAGAAATAAGGAAATCATGAAATGGAGAGAAGTCAAAGATACATTTTCGTTAAAAGATGTTGCCTTCTTGGGAACCAAAACAAAGGTCTTTTCATTTTACTGAAAAGCAAAGTCAATTATAAAAAACTGCAATGGAGCAAGGCATATTATACAAAACATAATGGCCAGAAAAGACTACAACACCTCATATTCTTGTAAATAATATGAGTACATAGTAAATAGTTGAGATGAGATAATATGTTCTTTTCCTTTAAATATGAGACAGTAGAGGCAATACAATGTCAACATAGAACAACCAAATAACATTGTTTTATTTTTATCTTATTCATTTATAGGTAAACTGTCAATTCAGAGAGATTTGTTACTTTTTTCTGCTAGTATTTCCTTGGTAGTTTTAAGGATACCAACGATTTCGAGAGTCAGTAACAGGAAAAAAATGTTCTTCAAAGTGACTATCTGTGCTGAGCTGCTAAACTAACTAGATAGATTAAACAGTAAACTTCAAACAACAGTGTCACATCCAGAGTGAGCCAATGAGAGTGTCTGCGAATATACCTTGTACAAGCTGTTTTCTTAAAAGCGTCCCCCATAATATAATGTCATAAATTAAACATCATGAATTTATTTAAACCTGCAAAAACTTTATTTCTGCTTGTATAGTTGCAGATTCCACATCTTTCAATCTGTGTTTCAATTTTTAACTAATGTTGAGAAAAAGATATTTTCTCCAATCTTGTTCAAATGTGTCTGGGCCATCAAAGAATATTTCTTTTTCTTTAGTTCAATTTTTTTTTTCTGTATCAGCTGACCAAGGTAGCTGAGAATAAGTTATCTCTATTTACAATAAAAAAAGATATATGTTGTAATTTTCACTGATCCTAACAGCAGTAAAAGTTTTCTCAATAAATGAAAAAATAAAATAAATGGTATCATAGTTTTTAAATTTAAAAACTCCATGATATTTCAGTAGGAAACATCTAAAATCTACCTTTGAGTCATTTTAGATATTTTCCAGTACTATTTGTGTATACATTTACTACTCCCTTTAAAGCCTAAACCAAACAGAACTTTTTGTTAAAGTTAGTGTGTTGGCATGTAATTATTTTGCTATTTTCTTGGTGTATAAATGAATCATATTGACATAAAGACTCCACTCAAAGGAAATACAAAGGAAGTACAGGAAAAAAATGTGTATAAGCAACAGCCAATTAAAAGGCAAAGTTATTTTAGATTACTAAAATATTTCATGAAACAAAGAATTGAACAGTCATATTTTAGAAATGGTTAGAACTGATTTATTCTTAAAGGCTTCAGTAGCACATATTCTTGGATGTTATAAATTGTCTTCTAGTGTAAATTTCCATATTCCTGAAGATATTATTGGCTTAGCCTGGATCCATCTGTCTACTTCTAGAACGAATAACGAAACCATGAATGCTGGAAACCACCCTGAATGGCAGGACGAGGAAATCCCAAAATAGCAAAACTAAGCATAAATTCCAGTATATGTCTATTATAGATCCCCAAGACAACGGAGGAGGGAGAATGCAGAAACAACTCGATGCATTTAATTCTCCAGGGATTTCATATATGAAAGAGATATTTTTGTTCCGCTTGACCAATTTTTCTATGTAGGAAAAAAAGCATATTCAATATTGACCCATTCATTGGTTTCATTATTTGTGAAATAATTTTAATCTGGTTTGGAATTTGTTAAGCCTTCCAGTGTGTGGTGATTAACGGTTTTCAATGTTGAGATGTTGCTACAATTATATAAAGCAACATTTAGATAAGTTTAATCATTATGTCCCTTGAATAACTTAATTATTATGTTATTATGTCCTCTCAAATATCCTATATTCCAGAACTTCTGAAGAAAAAAAGGGGAAGGAGCAAATGTCTGATCTTCTAGAATAAATTTTAAGACTGCCTTCAAAGAATTAGACTCATTTATCATATACGCACATGTATACCATTTAAATTGATACTGTAGATTTTATGCTACTGATAGACCACATCGAGGTCCAATTTGTTAAAATTAAAGATGGTTAGAGGTGTGAGTCATATTATTTAAGTGTATTACAGTTATTATAACCCTACAAACAAATTTTAAATATTTACTAATTCTTAATCTACAGCTCTAGCAGATTGTTGCCATTGAAGGATATTTTTCCAGAAGTGACAGGTTTCCTTTTTTAAAAAATGTAATATTCAAAAATATTATGTAAAATATTTAAATTATTGATTAGTCATATTTTTAAAAATACTATTAAGCTAAATAAAACTTCCATATTTGTAAAGCTTCTTCCATGCTCTTAATTAAGTCACCATTAAGTGCTGGTATTTTCCACCTTCTCTTTAACACTGCAACACATTGACTAAAGGGTATAGCTGTATACCTACACTTTCTCTACCACATGATAGAATCTATCTATAGCTATTTGTACCCTCTATCTACCTATCTGTCTGTCATCTTACTGTGGTAAATTACACATAAAATAAAATTTACCATTTTAACCATTTTAAAGCATACTATTAAGTGGCATTTAGTAAATTCACAATGTTGTGCAACCATTACCACTTTCTTGTTTTGGAATTGTTTCATCACCCCAAACAGCCACCCATACACATTAAGCAGTCACTTTCATTCCTACCTTTCCTCAGATCCTGGAAAATATATTGGTAGACTTGATATTCTGGATATTTCATATAAATGGATGATACATACAATATGTGGCATTTTGTGTCTGGCTTATTTCACTTAGCTTATTTTATTTTTAAAACGTAAATAATAAGAGTGAGAGATATCACTTGAGAATCACAGTTGAAATTGAAATGCTTTTTTTGAAAGTGTAAATCTGTATGCTGAGAAAAGCTCTGTCGTGTATAATAAAGTCAGTCAGTATAAGAATGTGTTAGTTCTAAACATCACTTTTTGTATGTGAAGGTAGGGAGGAAACAGTCTTGATTTTGCTTTTAGTAAATTAAAGCAGATGTCTTTGCTGGCTATGCCATCTTTAAATTATTTTAATATTTCTTCTTTTTCCCAATTTCATTTTTTGGATTAGGTGGATAAGAAGGAAATGGAAATTCACCCTGAGACGGCCTAACTATAGGCATTTTGAAATATTTCTGTCACTGGGAAAGCCTTATCTGAGGCTTTCACACATTAAGATATACAAATAAGCTGTTTTAAGATAACAATGTAAACAAAAAACTGATCATTTACCTTTCAGATAAATGTGGTAGACAAGGCCTCAGAAAATAAGCAAAAATGCATATCTGTATGAAAAATTAGACAGCATTCTTTGTGACACCACTCGTTCTATGAAAAAGCAGAATTATTTCCTCCAAACCAATGCAGAAGTTTGAGAAGCTTTGTCTTCTGTATTCCCTTTTGTTTGTGCTTGTTTCCTTGGTTTATATCTGAGACCTTACCATATTTATACTCTGTTTATAAAGCTATAGTAACAAAAGTAATTTTTAAGTAATAATTACATCCATTCTTCTTTGGAATATTACATTTTATAATTAAAATATTTCAAAGGAATTAATATTATCAATATTAGGACAGAAATAAGGCAAAATGAATCATGTTCCTTTTTTTTAATCCTTAAGTCTACTGAATGTAAGATGCTATTTTAAGCATTTTTTTATTTTTAAGTATAAAGATAGAAAATAAAAAATATTATCATTTTTGATGGGAGGTTGGAAAGTGATACAAAAGTATCCTCTTGAAGATAATATTTTGGAACCAAATTAATAAAATCAATGTTTAAAAATCTCAGAAAGTTACCTTAATTGATTAAAATTCATGTTATTAGAGAATATATTTTACAAATTAGAATATGTATATTAAAAATACTTAACACAGAATAAACTTGTATTTAAAATTTTGCTTTGGGTAACAGAAACTTCTAAGTAATAGGTCACATCATCAAATCTTTGGAAATAACACTAACATAATAGCTTTTGAGAAAAAGCCTTAGATAAAAGTGAATCATTTTAATTATATTTTCAGTAATACTTAGCAATGAGACATCTGTATCTGCAAGCTTTGCAGTTTCTCCTCAGAGAAATACATTCTATTGTCGAGCAGAAAAAAATACAGCAGGACTTGTCATCATCTGAATGAAATATTAACCAAGATCATCTGTTTTTCTTTGTTCTAACTTCTTGCTTGCTGAAATGAACAAGTTTAGATGTCTAACCCTCTCTCACATTTTTCATTCAAGCTAATCAGTTTATAAAATTCAAATGTCAATTTATTGACCCTTGAGGTGTGCTAAAGTTGCTCACTCATACCATTGGAATTACAATGTTTTCAAGTTTCAGGAGGAGATTTTTTTGACTTCCTACTTGACATCCATAAGAAATGTGGGAGACTAATGGTAGCTTATACGTATATAAATTGTAGGAAACGAAGGTTATGGATGAAGAAATCATTGAAGGCAAGTGTAGAGACCTGAAAGGATGAACATTCTCTTTGATGCAATTGACTCATAGATCCTATTATTCCTGTAGGCCATTTCTCCTTTGGACTTCAAGCTATGTGAGCTATCACATTTCATTATTATTCAATTCAGTTTGAATTGGAGATTTGAGTAAATAATTGCTTCCTAATTGGTACACTCACTGTGGCAGAAGTTTTTGGTTGATTGTTGGCTGCAAGAACATCCCATTGTCTCTCTCATTCCGTTCACATTTATGCAGTATACCAACATGTTAGCTGAAAATGCAATTCCTTGCTTTGTTTGTAGTTATGGATGGACATATATCTAAGTCCTGGACAATCTGAGAGTAACAGAAATAAAGTATTGGAGAAGAAAGTAAGAACTCTTTAAAGGTAGGGGTTCTTATTTCCTTTCTTCATTTTCTCAGTTGGAATGTAGATATTATAGCTTACAGCCTTGAGAATAAATGTTTCAACTTAGTGAAGACATATGGGAAAGTTGGAAGTCGTTATATTGTTGTCTCTGTTCTGAACTGACAAGCTCTTAACATTTTTACAGGATAAAGACATAAAATTCCATTTTGTTTAATCTTTTATTTTTGAGTCTGTATATTTAAATATAAAACTAATCTTAACTTACACTGACAAAACTATTCTTCTGATAACCACTCATTTACTTTAAAACTAGGACAATGACGTTCTACATGTACTAATATATTAGCATATGCATTATTTATTAGTACTGTACATTTCATTATCATGAATCTGTCCAACTATGGATTTCTGGTAATATTCATGTTCAGAAATTGATCTCCATAATGTTTTACCTGTGTGACTTTAGGAAGATATTTAACTTGATTGAAATTTGTTTCATTACCTGCAAAATGGGGCAACAATACATATAAAGAACTCCTGTCTGGCACAGAGAAATCTTTCAGTACATGTTATTTCTTAAGATTGCAAAGCTTGGGAAATTGAATGACACTGACTGAAGTACATTCTTGCTCTTGCTAAGCAACCAATTAAAATCCCAACAGAGTTTTCACAATTCTCAGTCAAGTTGATTCTAAGAAGGGAAAAAATATGTGGCCCTTCAAGTGTTTTACTCTTAAGTAGGTCTACATATTTCAAAAACATAACCTGATCTCTAAATAAATATCCCCAAAATATTCATTGCAAGATGGCCAGTATCTCATCCAGAATGCATAAATGTATGAAGAAATTGAATATTAATAATAGCAAGAACATAAAAACTAAGGAAGGATGCAGAAGTGTGGTGGGCAGAATTCTAAGATGATCCCTGTTAGTTTGGTAAGGTTGCCATAATAAAGCACCACAACTGTAAGGAAAATGGATGTGCTGCAGTCAAGAATAGGCCTAGGTAAACATCCATTGCAGCATGACTCAGCAAGTTTGGAGTGCAGGCACACAACTCTGCTCATTATATAACCTGTTTGTGTAAGCTCATACTTGGCTCTGAGCCACAATTGTCTGTAAACGCTATAATTGTGCTGCCAACACTGTACATAGGGCTTGTGACCAGAGAGAGAGAGGGAAAAGCTGCTGACCCTCTAAGGGAATGCTGGCCACCTTGTAGGTGGATGGAGGGGAGCCAGGAACGGGCGAGCATAGGGGAATGCAGCTGTACGTGTGGGAGTGGCAGGAGCCACAGAGCTAGGTGCTGAGAGAGGCTGCAGCCAGAGTTTGCAGCAAGACAAAGGTGTATGGAGAGAGAGAGAGCACAATAAAACCATATTTCACCTGCCTACTGCCTCCTGAGTGTTCTTTCAGCTACCTGCCACCCATCCACCCATTCCCCTCAGACCTCAGCTTGGGCCGGAACATGACACTTGGTGTGACATTTTGTGTAGTTGGCAGGATATCGAGGTGAGTTAGCCTTCGGCTCCCACTGATTCCATGTCAGCCATATGGCAGCAATATGAGCTGTAGTACCCGGCCAGTGGCAGCCATGCTGAGCGGATGGCCTCTGGAGGAAACATGGCTGGCAGTGGATGGGTCGCCTGCAAGTGTGGGGAAAGCACTAAGGCACCCGGAAGTGCACAGCACTGAGAAGGAGCGTGCTTTTGGCCGGCAGAGTCAGATGGGCGTTTGTGACTGTGCTGTGGGAAGTGCATGCCCAATCCCTGCAGGCTGCAGCCCAGGGAGGAGGAAAAACCTCCGTTACAGGCTCGTCCAATGGTACACCAGAAAATAGAGCAGGAGCAGCCGCTTGGGCCCCAAAGGTCGGCCCCAGGACGCCCTACCGTGGTGGAGCACACTTCATATAGTGGCTACATCCCTGCTAAGTTGCTGGAGTTAGGCAAGCAGTGTCGACAGCCATCGGGGGAGCCCCTCCCTGCCTGAATGCTCCATCTCTGGGAGGAAGGAGCTGATGCATTTCCTGCTCTGCCTCTGAGATGGAAAACCTAGTTTCTTTAATTAAGTGCAGACTGATGCCTCTGAAATACCAGAAACTGTCAGTAGAAGGCAGTCATATACAGATTTGGTGTAAGTCATTCAGGAGAAGGGTAATGCTGCGCGACCCAGTCCTGCCGGGACGTTTCATCTCAAAGACTGTCTGCTGCAGCCAGGTGGAAATGTAAAACCTTTTGTGTTTGATTAGGGAACTGGCCGAGGTGCCTGGCTTGGGGGAACACCAGACGACTGGAGGCCACATGTCGACTTGGCAATCCACTGGTGCCTGCACCTGGATAAGTTTCCGGGCAAGGCTGTATAGACAGCTATGAAGGCTGGTCATTGAAAGTAAAACCTTTATCTCTGCACCTCAGCCTCAGCCACTTGGCTCCCCACTTATGCACTGTGTATGTCTCTCCCATACCTGAATATATTCTGGGGGTGGATGTCTTACAGGCTTGGCAGCTGTGCCATCTATCATGGACTGCTCATCGATGGAATTGGGACAATACCACTATGTGGTGGACTTGGCTAATGGATTCTTTTCCAGAGAGCCAGGAACAGTTTGCCTTCATGGAAGAGCAACAATGGACTTTCAGTGTTGCCACAGGGCTAGATGCATAGCCCCACCATATGTCATACTCCTGTTGATGATATTATGTTAACCTTTGATTCTCTTGCAGATTTAGAAGTGATTAAGATAGTGCGACTGAGACCATGTTCCTGGCAGCCATTCGGGCTATTCAGCAGGCACAAGCCCTATGGGTAGTTGACCAGGGGTGCCCGTTTGAGCTGGATGTGCATGTGACCACAGATGGTTTCAGTTGGGACCTGTGGCAGTGCACAGAGCACTTGAGAATGCCAGTAAGCTTTTGGTCCTAATGATGGAAAGGAGCTAAGCTCTGATATACCTTGACAGAGAAACAGCTAGCAGCTGTACCTGTTGCCTGCCCTTCAGGCTTATGAAAGTGTGACAGTACGGGCTGCAGTTGTCATGCTGACAACTTACCCGATAGCAGGATGGGTGCATTCATTGGTAATGACCCCCTGGACTGGGATGACACAGACATCCACTTTAGCAAAGTGCAGTGCCTACTTAGAGTACTCTGAGTACAAGTCCTTTAGCAGCAGAGCCGCACAATGTCTTGGGACCTGTAGTCCTAATGCAAGATAAGGCCATGGGGCCTGAGGCACTCACCCCGCTCCTAATGGGACATGGTATATGGATGGGTCTAGCCAGGGCTCTGATACTGCTACCTAGACTGCTGTCGTAGTTCAGCCCAGTACTGACATTATATAGTTTGATACTGGGTGTGGGCAAAGTAGCTAATGAGCTGAACTCAGCCAGTGTGGATGGTGATCACCAAGGAGGTGACACCTATGGTAAATCTGCACCAATAGCTGGGCAATTTATTGAGGCTTAACCTTGTGGTTAACTAACTAGAAGTTACAGAAGTGGCTGGTTGGTCACTAGCCCGTGTAGGGCCAAGCCAGGTGGCAAGACCTATTGCAGGAAGGATGACTGTCTCTGACCAGGTATGGGGATGAACCTGTTGTTGCCTGCCCCAAGGCCCTTAAAGGTAGAAGAACAAAAAAACCTAGCTTAATATATAAAGCAACATTGGGGTAATGTCACCATGTGGTAGTTGCCCACATGTGTCAGATCTGTGTGTCCAGGACCTATGGGCAAAGCCTGTGTATTGGTCCTGTGTGCCCAGAGCTTATGTGTCAGGCATATGTCTCAAGCCTGTGTGTGTGTGTTGGAGCTGTGTGCCCAGAGCCTATGTGTCAGGCTTATGTGTCAAGCCTGTGTTGGGCCTTTGTGCCCAAAACCTATGTATCAGGCCTACGTGTAAGACCTGTGTGTCTAAGACCTATTTCTCCCTCGGCCTAGGGGGTGGAGTGTAAGTAAAATGGATGTCTTGTGGTCAAGAATACACCAAGGATGATTTTGGAGCACAGGTGCACAACTCTGCTCATTATATAACCTGTTTGTGTAAACTCATACTCTGCGCTGTGCCACTATTGTCTGTAAAAGGCAAAACTGCACTGCTGATGCTGTACATATGGCTCACATCCAGAAGGTCAGAAAGGCTGCTGACCCTGTAAAGGAGAACTGGCCTCCTTGCAAGTGGACATCGGGAGCCAGGAACTGGCAAGTGCGCCAGGGAGTGCAGCTATAGGCATGGGAGTGGCAGGAGCAGCATAGCTGGCTGCTAAGAGGGGCTGCAGCTGGAGTGGGCAGCTGAGCCAAAGGCAGATGGAGAGAGAAAACATCATAAAACCATATTTCACTTGCCTGCTGCCCCCTGAGTGTTCTTTTAGCTACCTGCCACCCATCCACCCACTCCCCTCAGACCTCAGCTTGGGCTGGAATATAACACTTGGTGTGACAACAACCTTGGCAGCTAAAACAATAGGAATTGGTTTTGTCACAGTTCTGAAGGCCAGAAATCTGTAATCTAGGTATTGGCAGAGTTGATTATTTCTCTGGGCTATGAGAGAAGTCTTGGTTTCAGAACACTTTCTTTGTAGATGACTATGCTCATGTTTGTCTGTCTTTATGTTCACATGGCATTCTCTCTCAACATCCAAATTTTCCCTTCTTAAAGGATCACAAAGCATTTTGGATTATAACTTACCCTAATGATCTCATTTAAACTTGATATCCACAGTAAAACCCTCTCTTCAAATAAAGACACATTCTAGGGTATAGAGGTAAGACCTTCAACCTATAGATATAGAGGTGAAACAATTCAGTTCAACAAATTTTAGCCCCCTGGTATATATTCTCTGCATTAATGCATGCTTTGAGTAGGTGCAGGACTTGTGACTAGGAGGGAATTTCCACTCTCTTTATTAGATCCTATTATATGGCAAATGTGAAAACATTTTGTATATGTGTTTAGATCTCTAGTCAGCTGACTTTAAGTCAGTCAAAAGGAAGATAATCCTATGGGGTCCTGAATGAATTAAGTGACCCCATTAAAAGAGTGTCTGAAAGTCAGATACAGAGGATGCTCCCTTATGGGCATCTTAGATTGATTGAGAAAGAAAACTGCCATGCTATGAGAGAGGGCCAAATGATACAAAATGGTGGGCAACCTCTAGGAGGTAAGGGTCTCAATCCTGTGTCTGCTAGAAACTGAATTCTACCAACAACCAACGAGGTTGGAAGAAGATCTCCCGCCTTAAATGAGATAGCACTTCTAGCTGACATCAGCCTGGTTAGTTTCTGTGCAGAGTACCAATTAATTTTTACCTGAGTCCCTGACTTACGGAAACTGCAAGATAATAAATTTGTGTTGTTCAGGCTGCTAAATTTGTAGTAATTTGTTAAGATACCATAATAAAAACTAATACAAGAGAAAATATTTAACAAGTACATAATGGTCGAAGGATCATACCTCTTTGGAAATAGATTTTACATCAAATATGGGTATAATTTATCCAGCAAAGTTTATATTAATATTTTCAGTAATTCTGATAAGCCTACAGATCTGTCACAGCATAGGAGCCTAAGTAAATATGTATGGAATTTAGTATGTGAAAAAGAGTTATTGGGTATTTATATAAAACTGGATTTTTGGCTCATAAAATGTTTTATAATTATATCCTATATATGTTAGATTTGCATAGAAAAAGGGTCTGGGATGTTACATGCCAACATGTAAACAATACTTATCTTAAGAAATGGAGTAACCAGTGGGTTACTGGGAGAAGGCAGAGGGAAGCCAAAATTATTATTATTACGTTTCTCTTTGAGGCTTCATTATTCATTTAACTAGTTAGACACGCTGTTAGTAGAACCAAGATAAACCAATTCAAGTGCTGACAAATCAAAGGAAAGCAAAATTATAACATTAAAAAGCAGAATCTGTACAGTGTCATTAAGGAATTAGAGTTTAGAGTGCTAAATTCCAGTTATTGGGTGATATGAAATGTATTTTTATCTATTGTCAGAAGACTGAGAAGTACATGGGATTCTAAGAAGTCTGGCAGTCCTGGGTTCAAATCATGATTGGACATATTACTTAACTTCTCAGTCTCTGAAATCCACAATTGGGTATGTCATGTCATTTATATTTACCCTTCTAACTTAATGAAAGGTGTCTTATTCTCAAACTAGAAATGTAGTATTTTGATAGGTCTTGATCTCACAAAACAAAATTTTAAAATATGAAAATTTCTTTATTCTCTAAATGGATGTTTCTGTCAGCTCCTGTACTTTTGATCTTTCTCAGGGTGGTTGTGGTTCTGGTTGCCAAGTTTTCATTTCACTCTAGATACCACCATGAGTTTGCAGTCTTCAACTCCTCTATATTCCAAATTTGAATCAGAGATCACAACTGTCTTAGAATGGCATCTTCCTCTCCTGCTTCAGCCATGCATTACTCTATCCTCACTACCAGAGCTAAATGGGAGAGTACACGACCCAATTATGCATAAAGAGGTTTAGAAGACTTTGAAGTGACTGTTAATATTCAAAAGTGAGAGAAAATTAAAACTTAAATAGAATCCTTTCAGGAATTTTTTCTCACTGAAAACCCCTGCTTTCTATACTTTCTCAAGTTTTGATTCTTTTAAAAATCAGTCTCCCTCCCCTATAAGCAGTTATAATTTTTGTTTGTTTGTTTATGTTTGAGATAGAGTCTCACTCCAGTTACCCAGACTGAAGTGCAGTGGTGGGATCTCAGCTCATCGCAGCCTGGACCTGCTAGGATCAGGTGATTCTCCTACCTCAGTCTTCTGAGTAGCTGGTACTACAGGAGTGTGCCACCATGTTGGCTTATGTTTCTTTTCAAATTTTTAGTAGAGACATTTGCCATGTTGTGCAGGCTGGTCATGAACTATTGGACTCAAGCAATCTGCCTGCCTCAGCCTCCCAAAGTGCTGGGAATACAGGTGTGAGCCACTGCACCTGGACTAGCAGTCATGTTTTTGACTTCTGGTTTTAGAACAGCATTCTGTCATAATCTCTTACTTTACTTATAATGTGTGCATACTAGATTCCAGGAATTCCTCTTAAAATTCTACATTAATGTTCCACAGAATTTCAATTGGGTTTATATTTATCATATTTCATTATAAATAGAGACTCCATCAGGCTAATTTAAACATTGTTTTTTAAAGAAGGTGAAACAGTAACTAATGTATACTTTTTAAAGCATCATCTTTCAAAATGGCTAAAGCTATTAGTTGTTAAAGCTTTCCAGTAAAATTTGAGTTTCTGTTACACAAACTGAGAACTACTACACCAAAATGACCTCTTGACTAATAAACTGACAGTAACTGGACCTCTCTTCTGTCTCATTCTGAATTTAGCAATACTTAATGTTAATCTGCTTGTACTTGTTCTTCATTTCTAAAAGGATTTTGTTGGCTTGCTTTATTCTCTTAATTGCTACAATGTATCCTTGGAAAACATAAATATGATGTCCTTACAAATACAAGTATAAAAACCTCAAGTGATTATACCATATTGTCTAGTTAAACGCAGTAGTAGAAAGCATTTGTCTCCAACTTTCATAGTCTCTTCTATTTCATGAGCGATAATGGAATAAAGATAGCCCAAAAACATTTTATTTTTCTTCTTTTTTAAAAATCTGGTCAATTGACGATATGATGATTATTAAGAATATAGCCAAATCTATAACACTAGAGCTATGTAAGTGGTTTATCACCTCTAAACTCTCCCCCAAGTGAACCTGCCCAGCCTCCAGTACTTGCTGCCTAATGACTATATTTTGTTTGGCATGAACCTGTGATGACAGCTAAGTCAACAAGGAGTGGCATATTTCCCAAGGGTGGCCAAATGAAATCTCATGAAAATTAATTTGTGCTGATAAATGAAGAACTGAAGTGGAAAAGTCATGATCCTTAATGAGCCAGGGAGGATATTTTGCAATTTCTTGTAATTTAGAGCACCTAAATTAAATATTGTATAATGCCAGTATTATTTACTTAAAATAATGAAACATTTAAAATAATTTGCTCCATGAAAAGTATTAAAACTCAAAATACTGGGATGTTTAATCCATTAAGTAGAGTTCAAATACTTCTGATTCTTTTAAATTTGATACTGAATGTTTATACATTTCATTATAATGTATAATATAATGACATAAAAAGTGAATATGCAATAACAAATATAAAACTATTACACATAAATTGGTACAAGTTATATGTCATCAGTAGTTTGAAAAGAAAAGCTGTGTATAAAGTATACCATAGTACTATAGACCTACATTTGCAAGCTTTGTTCATTAATTACTTCTAATTAGGATACATATTTTGCTTATCCCAGAAACACACTGTCATTTCATTTAGAATAGTGGTCTTTTTTATTTAAGGGCAATGGTTTCTCAAGTTTCCCTCCTTCCCTCCCTCCCTCCCTCCCTTCCTTCCTTCCTTCCTCCTTTCCTTACTCCCTCCCTCCCTCCCGTCTCCCTTATTCCCTTCCTTTCCCTTTCCTTCCCTTCCTTCCTTCCTCTCTTTCTTTCTCTTATTTTCTTTCTTTCTTCCTTTCTTTTTCTTTCTTTCTTTCTTTCTCTTTCTTTCTTTCTCTTTCTTTCTTTCTTTCTTTCTTTCTTTCTTTCCTTCTTTCTTTCTTTCTTTTCTTTCTTTCTTTCTTTCTTTCTTTCTTTCTTTCTTTCTTTCTTTCTTTCTCTCTCTCTTTCTTTCTTTCTTTCTTTCTTTCTTCTCTCTCTCCCTTCCTTCCCTCTCTTTCTTTCTTTCTTTTTTCATCTTTCAGTGTTTCTTTTCTGAAAATGTATATCCATAATAATTTTGTCAGTCAAAGCAATAATGTCATAAGATAAACTTATAGAGTTTTACAGTCTTTCTCTTTTCATATCTTATACCACATATGGTATGTGATTACTCTGACAGCTCAGAAATTTGGAAGCAAAGAGACCAATCAATCAAAGATTGTTGAAGTACATCCGTAAACCAAGTTTCTAGTAACTCTGAAAATTCTTAGAGTGAAGGAAACAACTGCGTTGGGACATGTTTGAGATGTTGGGTTGGCACTAGCGAAATTAGTTGGACATTATTGGCAGGGGCTTAAGTGTTTAAATAAAACAAAATGCTCATATTATTCTATAATGTGTTTTTTCTGCAAATTTCATTGTTCATACATAAAAGACTTCTTTGTTGTTTTGACTGCATATTGGCAAACAGTAATTTTATCAGCAATCCTCTTATTGATGGATATTTAGAGGGGTTAATCTAAATTCAAATGTTAAGATGAACTACTACATATTTTTACTATGCCTATGTTTACAGCAATATGTTCACATTTATGTAAATATTACAGTAAAATAATTGAAGGAAATTCTTCAAATTTTCCTTCTGCCCTTTGTTTTCTGTATTGAATGTTGGGCTTCCCAAGCCTGCTCCTTTCTTTAAATAATGCTATTCCAGTACTTAGTCTTAAAATTGCAGGTACCTCTACTATACGGATAAAGAAATATTGACAAGAGAAAAAACAAAAACATATTTTACAAAGCTACTAGAAACCACTATTCCTCAGAATAAAACTATTCTCAGAAAATAATAATTCATGAAAAGAGAATATTATAGGACATCCAGACTTGCTACATTATGTTCTGTAAAAATATTCTTTAAACTTTAAAAGTCTTTCATTCCTACTGATCTGTTACCATGGTACTAATACTTAAATTGGCATCTATATTTGCTGAAAGTATCATTTGTTTCTTAAGCCAAAAGGGGCCACTGGCATTTCCCTCTTCTTCACATGCATGGCATCTGGAGATACCAGGCTCATAAAAATTGGTAATAAACATCTAGAAGACATGCAGTTATTAAGAAAAGTAAATATAATTAAATTAAGATAGATTGATTGATTTTTTACAAAATGGCTTAAACCTACTCCTACTCATACTAACTGCACAAGAGGACAACTTTCTTCACACTCTTGTCAGCTTTAGATATTATCAATATTTCCACAGTCTGAAAAATGAACCCTGATTATTCATTGTAGGAGTTTTGATTTGATTTTGAATTGACTACAGAAGTGTGCCACACTGGTATTTCTTCGCCTATATGTGACTACTGACAGTTTTATATATTATTTCTTGGCTGTCTTATAATTTATATTATATAATGCATTATTTAAGTTATATATACAGTCATACATTACTTAACAGTAGTGCTATGTTCTGAGTAACGCATCAGTATGTGATTGTATTAGTCTGTTTTCATGCTGCTGATAAAGACACACCTGAGACTGGGCAATTTATAAGGAAAAAGAGATTTAATGGACTCACAGTTCCACATGGCTGGGGAGGCCACACAATCATGGCAGAAGGCAGAAGGCAAAAGGCACATCTTATGTGGTGGCAGACAAGAAAGAAAATGAGAGCCAAGCGAAGAGGGAAACCCCTTATAAAACCATCAGATATTGTGAGACTTACTCACTACCACGAGAATAGTATGGGGGAAGCTGCCTCCATGATTCAATTACCTCTCATCCGGTGCCTCCCACAACATGTGGGAATTATGGGAGCTACAATTCAAGATGGGATTTGGGTGGGGAAACAGCCAAACCGTATCAAGTGATTTTATCATTGTTTGATAGAGTGTATTCCCACAAACCTAGATGGTATAGGCTACTACACAACTAACTATATGATACAGCTGATTGTTTTTAGGCTACAAACCTGTATGGCATGTTACTGTACTGAACACTGTAGGCAATTTTAACACAATGTGAAGTATTTGTGTACATAAACATATCTAAACCTAGAAAAGGTACAGAAAAAATATGGTATTGTAATCTACCTGACCACGTAGATTATGTAGTCTATTGTTGACTGAAATTGTTATGTAGTCATATATGTAGTCTATTGTTGACTGAAATTTTCTTATGTGGTACATGACTATAATATATGTTGCAAATATAATTATATATATTTATTGTAAACATATTGTTAAAACTGATGAATATTTGAATGTGTAAACTAAATCAACAATGTTAAAATTGTATGTAGTAAATTTGTCTCCATAATTATTATGAAATCTATAATAAGAAATGAGTTCCATATTTAAAAATTAAAGAAGTTTCATCACATTATAAAGTGGTAGTATTGTCAACAAATAAAATATTTAGTGATATTGGAAGTATTGTCTATATAAAGATCATTCATTATAGAATGAAAGTTATATTGGATGATTCAGTAATCTCATAAGTACTATTTTATATAGTTGCATAGGGTAGGAATATCTTCCTCATCGAGGTAATGGAGCAAAGCCTTCTCATTAACATTAAAGTGCTATTTGAACCTGAACAACTCTTTTTGGCAATATATTATTAGAGATTGGGATATAAGCATAGCACTATGGGACAGTGATTATAAATATAGTTATGTCTCTAAAAATTATATATACCATTTAAATACATAGATACAGCTTCATTATATAACAACTTGCCCATTTTTCTTCTTTGCTAGTCAAAGTCCATGCAAACAACCAATTTACAACAATAGGAAAGAACAAAGAGTACTCTTTGGATAAATCGAGGATGGTTTTTATAGAAAATATGAATTATGTTTATATTTGTGGAAGGTATTCAAAATAGATACTTTATTACAAATAAAAAGAAGTGATAAGAAGTAAATTTGTAAACATAATATGATAGAAATGAAAGGAGGAGAAAATTTTAATAAAAAATGCATTTGAAAATATAGTAGAAGAGACAAGTGGATGAAATACACATTGAGAAAATTACAATGAATTTATCAGTTTTTAGGCTATTCATGAAATCTAAGAGAGTATGTTTCTTCTGACAAGCTTGATACTGAACAGAAAGGGATTAAGGACATATTGAAAAACTAGACAAATATATTTACAAGAAAGCTTTTTATTGAAGCATAACATACACGCAAAAATTGCACAAATTATATGTACAGCTCAGTTAACAATGTGTTCTCAATGTGAACACACTCATGCATCAATTATGCTGTTAAGTAATTTTAATGTTACCAACATAATCAGATAGACTCTCTCGTGTCCCTGTAATCATTACCAGTTTTTCCCCCCAAAATTTGTCCACTATCCTGACTTTTAACACCATTGGTTTGATTTTTTTCTTTTTGGACTTCATATAAATTGAAAAGTCTATGTATATTATTTGGTGTTTGGCTCCTGTTACTCAACATTATGTTTGTGAGACTCATCAAAATTCTTTTAAGTAGCAGTAGACTATTTACTTTTATTCCTGTATAGTCCTCCATTGTATGAATGTTTTATAATATATATTTTCCTTCTAATATTGATGGACATTTGAGTGTTGAGCAGATGCCTACTATTTCCCTTCAGGCCATCTAAGTTTCCTTGTGCCGGTAAACAATCTCTGGAATGCTAAAGGCTCCTTGTCCTCCTGCAATGTGTATCTCCTCTACCAGGGGGCTTTCTCTGATACTGAGGAACCTTGCACAGGTATGTGCAGGGACCAACCAAATCATAATGTGGGAAAATTTATGCTCCTGGGAAAAACCCTCAAACCTTCATTCCATGGGGAATGAAGCTAGGGGATAAATGTCCTGGTTTTCTTGTCTTCCCACAGGAGAATTCTGGGCTGCATTACACATATATCACAGAGGGCCCCAGAAGATTGGGCTCCGGTTGCCCACTGTTGTAAATTGTATATACATATATATTTTTCTTTTTTTCTCTCATTTTCACCATTTTCTCACTTGTGAAGAACAAGTGATCTGCCTCATTGAAATCTCATTCTTTGTGTCTAGTTTGTGGGCAATCAAAACTGAAGCAGCCAGCTCCATAGGTCACCCTAAAAAGAGGACCTCAGTGTTTGATTTTCAAATTTTGATGATCAGATGGTAACTAAAACCACCCTACTAGTAGTAAATAGAGTGACCACAACACCTAGCATGCAGTCACATTACAAGTATTGAGACTTTTACCTTTGGTGAATACTGATGAGTGGTAGGTAGAAGGGCCAGCATTTGTTATGTGAATGTTCTGAAATTTGAAAGAGGTTGAGGGCAAAATTATGTGTAAACATTGTAGATTTGTCTGGCTTTTGTTACCTTCTCTGGAAGCTTCGAAGGAGGCGAATAACACATGTTAAATTTTTTTTCTCTTACATTATTTTTTATATTTTCCATTTTGTAATACCTCTTTGATTCACTGTTTTCTTCAGAAACATCTTTAATAGGAATACTTTCTTTAGCTGTGTCTTAGAAATTATTAAACACATTTTACTTATAAATTAGGTTTTCGTTCTTAAATTTTCATTTATCTTCATATTTTCCACTTTACTCTTGAAATGCTCCATGTATGTTTCCTTTTCTTGAACATGTTATTCACCACTATTTTAAAGTGCATATCCTGTTACCTTTATTTCCTTTGAGTCTCCTCCCTCTGCTATTCTCTTGCTTTCTAAGTCCTCTTGCATGTCTCATGGTTTTTTATTGGTTATTGAATAAAATCTACAATGAATTTTACACATTATTTTATATAATGGAGAAGCTGACTTAAAGGAAGAAACTGAGACATAAAATATAATTTTTAAAGAGTTTACTTGAGCCCAGATGAGGACATCTGCCCTGAAGACTCAGACCTAGGTAACCTTGGGTATGAGCTCCATTTGGCCTGTGTTACAAGCTGGTTTTTAAAGGCAAAACACAGGACAAAGAGTGGGCTGACAGAAAGTTGTTTGCCAGGAATTCTCATTGGTTTACAGAAATAACATTGATTAGTGATTGGCTACATTGTTGAACTATATGAAATGAGTTAGAGGGTCCAGCGTGCAGCATTGTTAAGTTGATGTATAGCTACCTGTGGTGGCAAGCAGTCTTCAGTGCACATGGCCAGCAGCTTCAAGAGGTGGTTGTTTAGCTCAAGGCAGGCAGGAGGTGGGATATGACTGCTGTCTCATCCCCATGCTTCTCTGGACCTGATCATTTACAGGAGGCTTGCATTTCTGAGATAGTAGTTTCTTTTCTTTCTCAGAAGGATTTTATTTTATTTTTTGTTGTGCAATTAAGCTAGGTGAAAATCACCTCAAGCCGGTCATGGATTCAAATGATGATACACTGGTTTTCAGTTCTTGTGAGAAATGGTCTACTTTACACCTACTCAGGGGCATTTCTCTTCTGGATTCTTATTGAAAATGTGGCATGTTTGCCAGTTGCGTGGCAGGGCTTACACTTCATTTCCTATTTCTCCAGCTGTGTAACAAGTACAGAAATACCTACTAAAGGTCTCAGTTCTCAGTAGGACTTTTGGAATTGCCGCTATTTTATAGGGGAAACACAATGTCAAATGCTATGCCAATCGGTCTTATCTTCAGTGTCTTCCCTCTCCTTCAAAATTTGCTATTTGTCAGCTTCTTGATGGCTTCATGTTTTATCCATCCATTCTATTTATTCTCTTAAAAATGTTTGTTTAAAACAACCTAGTTCACTGTTGCAAGAAACAAGGTTCCTCACAATGTTTTTCTGGATCAGTAGCTGGAACATTCAATTTCTTCTATTTTAGATCCTTTACTTTTATTGCAGGTATTTCAGACTAGTAGTATGTCTTATTCATCTTTATAAAATTTTTTTGTATGTTAGGCCTGTAATACTAGCTGTTATATTAAATAATATATAAATACATGGGGATTTTTGATATTTATCAACCAATGCTAAAAGTAGATCTATCCCAATTTATATAAACTTTATTTTTTGTCATACAAATGATTTGTTTTTATTTCATTCATCTTTTCTCATTTCCCTGGTTTGCACAGCAGTAGAACCACCTGTTAGTTATTTTATCAAATTATGAAATGGTTTTAGGCAGCAGCAGCATTTAACACCCTACCTTGATATCTAATAAATATAATATCCACCTCATTTGACTAACTTGCAAATTGTTTTTCTCATACTTGTTTGATAGATTTTATTCTTGAAAAACTAGTGCACCCTGCGTGGTACAATTTAAGGGTGATGGTTACGTTTCTTGAGAGGTAAAATTACATGACATTAAGATTCTAACCAATGCCACATATAATTACCGGAAAATTTACTACCTAGTGGGTTTTATTATTGACAATATGGACGCATTTCTTAAATATTTAGAAGAATATAAATGTAACAAAGTTAGACATGATAATTGCACAGTTCTAAGGAGAAGCAGCTTCTGTTGCCTGCCAACAAAGTAACATATCTATTAGGATGATATACTGATACAGCATTAAAATAGGACTAAAATAATCACATTGAAGATGTAGTATTACACAAACTGAATAATTTTAAGAATACTTCAAAAATGCTGATTATATAAGTTTCTTTTTAAGAAAGATAGTTTTGAAACACTCTTTTCCAACCATTTTAAGGAAAACATTTTTATACTAACTTGTTGTACTTTAGATATTAACCTAACCCTTTTCTGCCTTAGGACATAAACTATATTTTCATGCAGATTATTTGTAATATGAGTTTAGATATGTATAATTTTTTTTCTCTTTAAAGACCTGCTTTAAAGGTAACATTTAATTACTAATTATTTTATTACAGCAACTCTTTATCTTCAGGAATAAAAATGAGGTAAGTTACTTTGATATAATTTTAAATCAACTTTTTTGAGTTGTAATTTACACATTATAAATGTACTCATTCTACATGTACAATGCGATACATTTTGACAAAGTGATTTACCCATGTAACTACAACTTCAATCACATACAGATATTTCATCACTCTCCAATGTCCCCTTGTGTCCATCAGCCCCAGCCTACCACTGACGTGCTTTATGCCACTATAAGTTCGTCATCCTCACTAGAAGTTTATAAAAATCGAATCATAATATCCACTCTTTTGTGTCTATTTTCTTTTTACTCAGCTCAATAGTTTTTGGATTAAAAATTTATTTCAAACATTTTTAAAATATGCTCAAAAATTTGTCTTAAATATAATAATTATTAACATGTATCTTTTTATGCTCAAATACAAATTTTATTTAGATATCCAGAAATCAACTTTTTCAAGAATAGAATATGAGCAGGATAACTAAACTTGTTCTCTATTGTTCCAGAGGACATTCTATTACTAGTGGGCAGAAATTACAAGAAAAAAATGATAGCTCAGGAGACACAAGTAATGTTTCATAGTTGGAATCATCTAAAATTGAGTGAGATTTAACTGCCATGCGAAATTCCTAATTACTCTAAATACTATAGTCAATGATAACTGATCAGTATAATCTATGGATGTCATTTTCTCAGTAAGGGATGCATTGGTCTCTAAGATTACAGCTGCTCTTACATTTTGTCATCCTACAGAAGGGGTTAATGCATGTCAAATTCTTTGAAAATTACAAAGCCCATATACACAAGTAATGACATGCTTTCACACTTTTAATTTTGTTGATCGCGCCAACTATCATCCATATCTATTTCTATCTGATATTTCTTGTTAAAATAAACCCCCCTCAAAATGATGCATCTCTTTTTGTATTATTAAGAACACTCCATAGCAAGAAGGTTTAGTTGCCCTGAGGTAGAGTTGCCAAAATTTGCAAATAGAAATGCAGGATGGGCTGGGTGCAGTGGCTCACACCTGATCCCAGAACTTTGGGAGCCTGAGGTTGGAGGCTCTGTAGAGCTCAGGAGTTCAAGACCAGCCTGGGCAATATAATGAGATCCCATCTCTACATTTTTTTAAAAAAATAAGCCAGGCATGGTGGCACATGCCTGTAGTCCCAGCTACTAGGGAGGCTAATGTGGGAGAATGGCTTGAGCCTGGGAGGTCAAGCCTACAGTGAGCTATAATCATGACACTGCACTACAGCCTAAGCAAGAAGGTGAGACCCTGTCTCGAGAAAGAAAGAAAGGAAGGAAGGAAGGAAGGAAGGAAGGAAGGAAGGAAGGAAGGAAGGAAGGAAGGAAGGAAGATGCCCAGTTAAATTTGAATTTCAGATAAACATTTTTTTCAGTCTATGTATTTACCATGCAATATTTTGGATATATGTATTCTACAAATTTTCATTATGTATCTGCTGTTCAAATTTAAGTTGGCATCTTTCATGCTATCTGGTGATCCTGTAGCTGAAGTGAGCAGGGTAGGATGCAGCTGGGAATAGATTCTATGTATAGATAGTAAATATCTCCTGCCATTCTTGACCACAGACATCTGTCATGGACAATAAGGCCAGCATTCAGTGGCCCTACCTAGCACATACTTTTTCATAGACTGAATGTTATCTGTATAGGTGTCGAAATGAAAGAGTGTCTTAGTAGTCTATTCCATCATTCATAATGTAAACCACACAATCTCTTCCTTAAAATCAAAATTCAAAATTAATAAAATCTAATATAACTATTTCCAAACCAACAACCTTAAAATATAAGCCTCATTTGAAATCCTAAGCTGTGGAAGATTTGAATACATTGCATACGGACTAAAGAAAATAGATTCTAGTTTAACTGGTCCAACAAATATTCAACAAGTGCCGAGGGTTGCCACATTTATTGACTTGCCATGTTGAGTCATGTTCTGTTTCTTTAATTTCTTTATCATGATATGCCAGTTTGGGCCCATATTCTTGACTAAAATGTTTAATTAAGTATACCTGGTTTATGCACAATCTGAACTGATATTGATGAGTAACTTTTAATTTAGGATTTATAGGAGCACACCACAGTTATAATTGACTGAATTGGATTCACTCACAAATTCAGGAGAGTTTTAAACAAACAAATTGTGGTATGGTCAGAAATGTACTCATGCAAATACATATGATGACCAAATAAAATAAAAAAGTGCAGACCCTGAGCTTTGCGCCTTTCATTATTGTCCTGGGAAGTTGTTTTCATCAACTTGCACCTCGTTCCAGGTTTTTCCACGTATGAGAAAATATGACTGACAAGGTTTTAGTTTTTCTGGGTTCCATGTTAAAAGACTTGGGGAAGTAACTTTTTTGGACCAATATGGCTCAGCACACACTTCTGGCTACGTGGTGACTAGCGATCAGATTTGATTTATGTATGAGAACATGGCAACTCTAAATATTAATTTGGCACTTTCTGAATGCTGAGCCCTGTTCCAGGAACTGAATGTGAACTACCAAACAAAATTTTCACAGCTCCTGCTCTCATGGAGCTTACATTTTAATTAGGGGATGTGATGATTCAGGTGGAAAACTGAGATGGTTTCAGGAAGAAATAAATAGATGCTAAATGTCACATAAAGGCTAGTAAGAAAAGTAAATAAAGATAGGAACATGGTAAAGACAGTGTGGGTTGGGAAGGGCTTGGAGGTACCAATTAAAATAATGTGGTCAGGGAAAAATTTTCTGATACATTAGTATTTATGAAAATATTTAAAGGAATGATCTAACCACACAGGTACCTGGAATGCTAAAGTCTTTACAGAAATATTACTAGGAAACTGGCTAATTTAGCAAAGCTGAGCTTATTAATCTTATTTCAAGAACAAACATCACTGGACGAAGCTGGAAACCATCATTCTCAGCAAACTATCGCAAGGACAGAAAACCAAACACCACATGTTCTCACTCATAGGTGGGAATTGAACAATGAGAACACATGGACACAAGAAGGGGAACATCACACACCAGGGCCTGTTGTGGGGTGGAGGGAGGCGGGAGGGATAGCATTAGGAGATACACCTAATGTAAATGACGAGTTAATGGGTGCAGCACACCAACATGGCACATGTATACATATGTAACAAACCTGCACGTTGTGCACATGTACCCTAAAACTTAAAGTATAATAAAAAATTTTTTTTCTCAAAAAAAAAAAAAAAAAGAACAAACATCACATTGATGGTGTCAAGATGTGGGAGTTGGGGAAGATTTTTGAGGGCCTGGACTACGTGATGTTAAGATGGGTCTTGTAAGTCAGAGAACTGGTAGGAATTGGGCAGATTTTAGGACATACAGCTTTAGATTTGTGGCCAAAGTAAAGCGAGGATCTTGAAGCACATCATGATGAACAAGCTATCTTGATAATTAAGTTTTTTCATTTGTTCAGTTTTATATCTGTGAACAAATATTTCCTGGAACAAGCAGCTACATTCCTCTCATTTATTTTAAGCTGTGTTAGCCTATGAACAAGTAAATACGTCTCATCTCAATAGTGTTTAGTACACAGAAAGGAAATTACCTACTTGGCTTATTATTATTATTATTATTATTATTATTATTATTATTATTTTCAGTGCAGGAAGAGTTTTCCAAACAGGGAAGTACATGGATAGAAGTTCTAATATGGAAGCTTGCATGATGTGTTGAAGAACAACCAGCTTGCCATTTTGGCTAGAGTAAGTGAGTCAGGAAGAGTGAGAGAAAATGGAATCACAGAGGGAGTGGGGAGTCAAGCCATGTAACATCTTACAGAGCCTTATCAAAAGTTTGAATGGTATTCTAATTGTATTGTAGGCATTGGATGGTTTTGAGCTCAGGAGGAACATGATCACTCTTAGGAGTATACACATATCCACTATAGAGTTATACATATAATAAAAAACAATATAAAGTTACATAATGTGACAAAAAGCATATGAGTTTTACTCAAAGCCCTACTTAAGTCAAGTATATATATATAGCAAATGATAAATAATATAAAGCAAAATATAATGGGATTATTATTGTTTCTGATACCTTCTCATTAAGATATAGGTAAATATATCCATAAGATAAGTTCTTATCTGTATATAAAAATATTCTACAGGATCTTTCAAAATTTTTTTCTAATTCTTTTCTTATCATAGTTTGAGACATAGCTGGCTGCTCACATCTTTGTGAAGCAATTTCTGTAGAGAGTTTTCTATCTCTTTGTCTGCACTTTGTCAAAGTTTTTTTTATTGACCATACATTTCATCAATAGTGTTTTATATAGGATCAACTATTTTGGTCTTTGAGTGCTATTAAGCAGATCTATGAATCTTAAGAAGTTATGGCTACATCAATGTAAACTGTGCAACTAGGGCCATTTGCTATAACTTTCTATAAATAGCAATGGATGGTTTGTTCCCACTCTGCATCTTAGCAATGGATTATTTCATAGCTGAACATAGCCATAGTGTTTTCAGAAAACAACATTACAGGTGAGTGCCACCTCAAAGACCTATTCCTTTTCAGGAAAACAACAATCAAACTGCTTAGGAAAACCCAAAAGGCCCCTATGCCTTCAGTGAGTTTTAAATTTAAATCAGTGAGGAAAACAAACACAAACTGAATTTCAGTACAAAAAGTGGTAATAATGTAAAGAAAGACAAAGAAGGAAACAGATGTTTCAAGAGAAATATTCTTCCTCTCTGACATAGAAGTAGGACCTTAACACTTTGGTAAGATTTCATCAAATACAGACTGAAGATGAAGTAACAATTTCAGACTGAGGAAAAAATATGAATAAAGGAAGAGAGATAGACAAAATGTTCAATATGTTAAAATATCACTGTTTGGGGAATAGAAAAGGAAGTAATGGAACATTTGGCTAGAAATGTAAGTAGGTCAAAGGCAGATCATGGAAGTTTTCAGATGCCTAGTGACAATAAGTTTCTTTAAACATTAGCGAGATATTGTAGGTTTGGGGTTATTCGATGGGATGTTATCTGGTATCTAATAACACTGATGAATTTTCACAACATAATATATAATATAGAATTGAAGATAGAATTCTGGCTAATGCCTGACTTTAGCGGAAGAAATATGCTGGTCCATAGGCTGCTATAACTCTGAATATGCATACATGTATGTATAGATGTATACATGCACGGATTTATTGTGTATATATGAAGACAAATCTATTAATTTTTATTTCTTGACAGTTTTTAACATTTATAGAGATTGAACAATGTTAGATACCCCTGATGTAACTGAAAATTACTATATGATTTTTTATATAACTTTAATGATGAAACTGATTATATCAATGTGTTTTCTTACATGGAACCACACGTCATTTCCTGGAATAAACCTCATTTAGTCATTTAGTCATAGTGTTCTGGGTTTGTTTGTTTTTTTTTTTTTTGGTATGCTCTTGGCATGTCTGCAAACATTTATGTAAGATTTTTCATCAATATTCATAATAAAGTTTGTAGCTTTCTTTTATGGTGCAATCTTTTTATATTTTAGGATCAATATGTAGTAGCTTCATAAAACAAATATAGAAGTTTTTATTCTATTTCTATGTTCTGGATGATTTAGGTAGCTTTAATACTATATTATTCTTAAAGATTTGGTAGAATTCTGTGAAGTTTTCTGAGTCTGGTGATTTATGTTGGGGCTGCATTTTTTTAAAACTTGAATTCTATTACAGTATTATGTTTATTTAGATTTGTTATTTCTTTTCCCATTGTCTTCTTTTATATGGCATTTGGCCTGTTTAGATTTTCTGTCACTACTGAAGTAAATTTTGGATGGTTTCACCATTCTTTAAAAATTACTGTTTAGTTAGATTGTAAAAGTAAATTTATAATATTATAATTTCTTCTTTTTGATTGCTATCCCTTTTTGCCAATTTCAAGTTTCTATCTTGTAGTTTATTTTCTTTTTCTTTTTTTTTTTTTAACACTTGAAGTTGTGACATACATGTACAGAACGTGCAGGTTTGTTACATAGGTATACAGGTGCCATAGTGGTTTACTGCACCCATCAACCCATCATCTACATTAGATATTTCTCCTAATGCTATCCCTCCCCTAGCCCCCAACCCCCACAACAGGCCCCGGTGTGTGATGTTCCCCTCCCTCTGCCCATGTGTTCTCATTGTTCAACTCCCGCTTATGAGTGAGAACATGCGCTGTTTGGTTTTCTGTTCTTGTGTTAATTTGCTGAGAATGATGATTTCCGGCTTCATCCATGTCTCTGCAAAGGACATGAACTCATCCTTTTTTATGGCTGCATAGCATTCCACGGTGTATATGGGCCACATTTTCTAACCAGCTAGCATCATAAAGACAGGATCAAATTCACACATAATGATATTAACCTTAAATGTAAACAGGCTAAATGCCCCAATTAAAAGACACAGACTGGCAAATTGTGTAGAGTCAAAACCCATTGGTGTGCTATATTCAGGAGACCCATCTCATGTGCAAAGGCACACGCAGGCTCAAAAAAACAGGATGGAGAAATATTTACCATGCAAATGGAAAGCAAAAAAAAAAAAAAAAAGCAGGAGTTGCAATCCTAGTCTCTGATAAAACAGACTTCAAACCAACAAAAATCAAAAAAGACAAAGAAAAGCATTACATAGTGGTAAAGGGATCAATGCAACAAGAAGAGCTAATTATTTTCTTTTTTGAATTTGCTAGTGATTTGTTGAGTTTGCAGAATTTCTTAAAAATTAATTGATTTTTGGATTTATATTAGGTTGTCAGGCAAATTACAGATTACCCAGTTAAATTTGTATTTCAAAAAGTAAACACTGAAAAACGACATGTAATTCCTATAACATATAATTTTTTAGTATAAAATTGTTCCAAATATTACATGGGGCAAACCTATACTAAAATTACCTGTTGCTCATCTGAAATTCAAATTTAAATAGACATTCTCTATTTTAATTTCCAAAATATATCAATACTATTTATTTATTCTAAACTTTCCTTATTTTTGTTTTCTTATGTTTTATATATTTTCATCTTCATTAATTCCTTGCTTCTGTTCCCTTTGGTTTTCTATTGTATTATTTCCCTTTGTTTTTTAGATTGGTGTTTAATTAATGTTTTTTTTTACTTTTACTAATAGAAGTACTTATGTAGATAAATGCTCTTTAATATATCATGTTTTCATTACCACTAAATTCAAGAAAGTCTGACATCTTATTTTTTAAATTTCTTTTTTGACCCAAGTTTTAAAAACTACATTTAAAAAATAACAGGTGGAAGGGTTTTTAACTTTGTTATTAATTTACAATTTTAATGCATTATGATAAAAATGCTGTTTGGACTATTTATATGATTTTAAATTTATTGCATGTTTCTTTGTCATCTAAATTTTAATCAACTTGTTCTAAATGTATGATGTATATTTTTAGTAGAGTCGGGGTTTCACTGTGTTAGCCAGGATGGTCTCGATCTCCTGATCTCATGATCTGCCCATCTCGGCTCCCCAAAGTGCTGGGATTACAGGCGTGAGCCATCTTTCATATCAATTATGGTTCTTATAATTTTTACTGGTTTATTTTGTACATTTAATATGACTTCATTGAGAAGGTTTAATAAAGTTTCTTATTACTGTATTTCTATTTTTCTTGAATCTGCTGTACTTCTGTTTTATGAAAGTTATGGCTTTATTACTGTGTGCATACATATTAATAAGTGTTGTCATGTGATAGCATGACATGACATGATCTGATAGCATAACTTTTTCTGTTTAAATCCTTTTTTGTGTGAATTCTATTTAGTCAAATAGAAAGACTGTGACTTCTGCTTTTTAAAGTATGTTTATATTGTCTGTTATGCCTTTGTTGATCCTTTCATTTTCAACTTTTTTTAAATAGGCTGGTTAAGGACATTTATTGATATGTTTGAACTCAATTCTGTATAATTTTTCTATTTAGTATGAATAGTCTAGTCTTTTATAATGTATTTTCTTTTCCTTTAGATCTGTTTTTTTGGTTATTTAGAAAATTTTAAAATGTTCTGTGTATATTATGTATATACACTTGTTATAAATATACAAATTACTATTATGCATTATATTTCTGAATTATTTGAGTAAGTTACAGACACATGCCCATTTGTCATATGATCAATCAATATATATTTACTAAAATGAGTATTTTCTTTTATATAACCACAGTAAAATTTCTACCATCAGAAAATTAACTTTTAAATAAAAGAATACTGTTACTAAATATTGATCATAACTAAACATGGCCACTTGTCACAATAATAATCATTTCATAAATGAAATTCAAAGTATATTTATACTATACTAGTTTCTGTAAGTACAAAAGAAAATTTAGAAACATACAGTGTATCTTCTCATTTGTACAAGAAACACAGAAAGGATTAATTAAAGAAAACAATGAAGTTGGTTTAGATGCAAAGAGTAGAAAGGAATGGTATTGAAGGCATGGGATGATGGAAACAGGGTAGAAGGGAAGATAGGATGATGGGAACAGGAAGAAAAAGGAGGATAATTTTTAATGTATAACTTTCTATATATGTTTCATTTTTAGAACCATGGTAAAATTTCACATATTTGAAAACAATCAAAATCAACAATGATAGGTTAGATAGAACAAAATTGAGAACAAACAAAGCAAATGAAACTAAGTGTAGGGAGGAAGAAATAACCTAAGTAACTTGAAAATAGTGGTTTGACTGTACACATCCTAAGGGCTATGAAGCAATTTCAGAAATACTCTATGTATATTCTGAAACTGGGAGAATGAGTAAATATATTGTTGATGAAAGCCAGGATTCACATCTTTAGTAGGGAATTTTAAATATAGAAAGAGGGAAGGCTAGAACAAAAGTTATTATGCTTAATTGGAAATGGAGATACAATTATGAACTCATTTATTTAATATAAATATATAGGTAGAAACATATATGGATATGTTTATATACACACATAAAATCACACACACCTATTTACATTTCAAGGTATAGATATGTAATTATGCACGTTCCTATATACGTACATATGTATCTGTATAAACATACATGCATATATGATATGAGAATAATGAGTATTTAGAAATTATTGCTGTATATTTTCAATTTTCTAAGCCTGAGTGTATCTTAAATTAGAAAGCTTAAATGTATTCTATTTCCATTGCCATTATCTCAAAATCTTTCCAAAATCTATTTTTTAAATGCAGAATCTTAAGCTAGTTTGAAACACGATTCCTTATTTCTCAATATTTGCCTCTTGAGGTACTTTCTGTGATGAAGCATTTCCAATATTTTCTCATATTTGTGTTATTTTTCTTTACACCTTTGATGAGCTCAAGTAAAATGAGTGATTGAGGTTACAAAATTACCACTTTGTCACAATCATTTTTACCTACTTATCAATAGAATTACCATTAGCATCTTCTGCCCTTTTTTGCTGACAATTTACTCATTAAATTTGATCCATGTCATATTTGTGACCATTAAAATGAAGTATACTTTCTGTCATTCAGTGAAGATATGACTTTAGAGCCCTAATATCTTTCCAAGTCAGTTACCACAAAAGTGACAATACTGAAGATGTGTTTTGAATGGATAGTGCATTTGTCTTTCTGATACAGTTCTCCACACTTCATAAATATTTACAGTCTCTGTTGTTTGTCACTAGAAATTATGGTACTCATCCAAGGGTTTCATTTATTTAAAATGACAATAATTGTACAGTTTTTTATTCTTCCCTGCATTTATGAAAGTTTGTAAGTAGAAATATTAATGCAATGCTGTATTAAAGCTGGCTCATATTGGCTCTAAATAGTTGATTTAGTATACCTATTCCAAACCCTACATTCAGTGATTTCACACTGATAGCTTAAAATCATGGTAGTGTGCATATCTATAATATGTAAACTGGTGAATGAAAGCAATCAGCCATCTCTTCTCCCCACAATCAGGGTGGTATTTACTAAATTTACCAGCACTCCACTCCTCTAATGTTCCTGGGAACATGGGACATTCTACATTGATAAAACTTTAATTGGAGATTTGGAAATATTGAATAAGAGTTAGCTAGTTGAATGTGGGTACTAAAGGGTAATGGGTGGATAAAACACATGCTTAGAATCCACATACATGAAGGAAAAGACAAACGTATGTCATACAGAAAAAAGTGAAAAATGCTATGGTAAAAGTATGACTCACAAAATTATACAAAATTTAGGTATAGAAGTGGACTGAAGAAATATTATTGTAACCACGTAAGAATTATGGACTTTGGATAAGGACAAGAATTTGGATAAATTCTTGAAAGATGAATATCATAAACATTTAATCATGTCTATTCAGTTGTTAATGGATTAGATAAGAGACATCAATTAAAGATGTCATTGGGGCCATGGAATATCAAGCAGCTGGATCTGCCTACACCAGCTAATATGCAACATACAATTGTGACCCCTGAAAGAGGGAAAATAGTGAGATGAGCCCTATGATCACTCTGGCTGGCTGTCTACAACCAATTTTTAGAATGTGAGTCTGGGAAAGGAACCCAGTCAAAACTTGGCATTCTCACTTGGTTGAGAAGGCAAGAGTTCAGGGTTAGGAAATACTTAGCTGTCTAGAATTTATGGGTCATATTTGCAGCAAGGTAGGAGCAGAAAAGGAGGTCTAAAAATCTTATATGGAATCATGTTATCTCTTCAGTTGAATAATATTTTAAAAGCTTGAAATTAAAACCCATGTGGTTCAGCTAGGAATAAATTATTAGGAAAGAACCAATCAATATCAGAAAGCTACAAACAAAATGCATAGTCTCCATAGCTCATACAAAAATGAGGAATATTTCTCTTTCTTATATCCATTTTGAAGAGGGTTCTTTGAATACACAGGACAATCAGTAAATAGCTTAGGAATAATCCACTTGGACATGAGAATAAACTAAATCTAAAGTAAAGCCTACTCTAAATATGTCCTAAAATCTTAAAAACTAGGCTCATGAAATTAAATTTGTTCAAAATTAATTTAACTGTTAAACTCTAACACTCTTCTAAAAATACAAAAATTCTAGAATTTATCAATATAAACTTCACAATACATGGCATCCAAATTAAAGCTAGTAGACACATGACTACACAAAAAAAGACCTAAAACAAAAAGATAACTTAGTCAAAAGACAGAAGCTCTCAAAAAAAAAAAGACATGATAAAACTGGCAGATAAATTTACAGTTACTGTAAATATGTTTCATAGGCCCAATTATGTAAAAGATAACATGATTATAATGAGCAAAGTAATGAAAGACAGGAAAAAGAACCAAATAGGATTTCTAGAATTAAGATGAAATTTTTCTGGAATTGAAAAACACAACCTGAAGTGAATATTTTATAAAATGAGATAAATAGCATCCTAGGCATTGCAGAAGATCGCTGAACATGTAAATAAAACAATAGAAACAATTTTTTAAAATCACGCTAAAGTAGAAAAGACTAAAAAGCAAATATGAACAAATCCCTGTTGATTAGATGAAAAATATCAACCTGTTTTACACACATGCAATTGGAAATCCAGAAGAAATAAAGAGGACTGGGGAAAAAACGTTTAAAGAAAGAATAAGAATTTTCCAAATTTGTTTAATCAGTAAAGCCACGGACGCAATTATCTCCATGAAAAAGAAAGTGAATAAATACAAATAAAACCATAACAAGGCATATAATAATCAAATTGTTGAAAGCCAGTGATAAAGAAAAATAACATAAAGAGTTTAATAAGATTAGACATGTTAGTTACAAAGAAACAGATTTAAGACCCCCCCAGAAGCTACACAGGCCAGAAGATGATGGAATGGTATTCCTAAAACATTAGAGAAAATCTGTCTACATAGAATTCTGTACCCTGGAAAAATATCTTTCTAAAAGGAGCATAAAAGAGAGACTTTTTAACATTATAAAACAAAAGTAATATAATTTCCCCCAGTGAAAGTGTATCATAAAAAAAATGTTAAGGGAAACATTTTAGATAAAAAAACACACAAGATATAAATTTAGAATTATAAAAACGAAGAGTACTGGAAATATAAAATGTGAGGGTGAGTACAAATTAATTTATTCTCATTTTCTAAATTAAAATATTAAATATTTAAAACAAAATTACTAAAAATATATTTTTGAGTTTTATAACGTAGCGAAATCTAGGATAACTAGTACAAAAATGGGGAAAAAATAAAAGTAACTTTTGTTAGCTTAATAGATTATATGTAAATTAGTATAACAATTGTTAAAGATATATTTTATAAGTCAAAAATGCATATGACAAATTCTACAATAATCACTACATATTCCTTAAAAGGTATACCTAATAAGCCAATATCATAAGAAATTCTAAAAATATTTTTAATCCCAAGGAAGGAAGAAAAATTAATAGGAATATAGAAGACTTAATACCATCAACCCATCAACCTACTTGATGAAATTTACATTTATAAATACTACACCTGAAAACAGGAGAATAAACACTGCTCAGGTATCCATGGAATTTTGACGGAATATATCCCGTTATGCACTAAAATAAGCCTCAATAATTTTATAAGGATTAAAAACAAAGAATATATGCTTAATATGTATAAGTGTTAATATGTATAAATAATTATAGAAAAATATCTCAAAATTATCCAAATATACATACCTTGTGTAATGTTTTTCATAATAAGTATTATAGGAAACCACAAGGTAAATTAGTATTTTATGATAAATGGAAAATGAAAACATGATACATAAAAGTGGCCAGGTGCGATGGCTTACGCCTCTAATCCCAGAACTTTGGGAGGCTGAGGGGGGTGGATCACTTGAGGTCAGGAGTTCGAGACCAGCCTGGCCAACATGGTGAAACCTCATCTCTACTAAAAATACAAAAGTTAGCTGGGCATAGTGGTGCACGCTTGTAATTCCAGCTACCCGGGAGGCTGAGACAGGAGAACAGCTTGAACTCAGGAGGCAGAGGTTGCCGTGAGCCAATATCGCGCCACTGCACTCCAGCCTGGGTGATACAGCGAGACTCAGTCTCAAAACAACAACAAAACATTATATATTATGTAAATTTCCTTGAAGAAAAAAATTAAACTTAATGTAAGTAAAATGAGTGAAATATTAACAATAAAGGAGAAATTCAATTTATTAAACAGCAGGCAAGCAATAGAGAAAAATCGATGGAAAAATAACTTGGTGTTTTAGAATACTATTAAAATTGATAAACCTCTAGCTAGCCTGAAAAAGAGAATGAGAAGGAACAAATAACCAATGGCAGGAATGACAGCGGGTTCAATACTGCAGATAAAATAGATATCAAATGTATAATTAGGATAATGTTTTACAAATCTTCATCATAGACAAGTGGTATACCTAGACAAAATGGACAAATTATTTGAATGCAAACATTATCAAAGTTGGCTGAAGAAATAAAAAAAAGAATATCCCAATATCATTTTAAAGAAATTGTCTTTAAAATTTAGAACCTTCTCATTTTACACTCCTCATTTTAACTGGAATCTCCAACCAAATCCAGTCTCCAAATCTGCTGCTTGTGATTCTTTTCTCATCCCCCTCACTGCATGACCAGATATTTTTGTCCCTTATTTTCTATTTAACAGTTTCCTCCTTCTCAATATCATTGATAATTCTTTCCTTTCTACATAATTTTTTTTTTTTTTTTTTTTTTTTTTTTTTTTTTTTTTTTTTTTTTTTAAACAGGGTCTCGCTCTGTCGCCCAGGCTGGAGTGCAGTGGCGCGCTCTCAGCTCACTGCAAGCTCCGCCTCCCGGGTTCACGGCATTCTCCTGCCTCAGCCTCCGAGTAGTTGGGACTACAGGCGCCCGCCACCACGCCCGGCTAATTTTTTGTATTTTTGGTAGAGACGGGGTTTCACCATGTGTTAAGCAGGATGGTCTCGATCTCCTGACCTCTTGATCCGCCCGCCTTGGCCTCCCAAAGTGCTGGGATTGCAGGTGTGAGCCACTGCGCCCGGCCCTCTACTTAATCTTTAAACGATTATGTTCTTCAGCACTCAACCCCAATTCCTCACCCACTCACAAACTTCCATTATAATCTGTAAGCTAGTGGTTTAAAATATACTCTTGCACCATGTACTTTTATCATGACATCCCAAACTATACACACAGCTGTCTATTTAATATATTTTTATAGATGAATCAAGACAATTTAGTCTCCGTATTCCAAAACTGAGTTCCACATCTTGCCCCTACCTGCTTCTTCAATTATGCTAAATAGTTCAATGGAAAGTATAAATATTTCATTCAACTTGATGTTGCTGTTTTAGGATCTGATAAACAAGATTGCTATGCTTTCTGAAAAAGACAATAGTTTGGTTCTTTTAGTGGAAGTGAGAAGAAAAATTTGAACACAAACCATAGGTTTTATACATTCTTTACACACATTTATGCTCAAATTATAAAAAGTATTTTTGTATTCCCCACACAACCTTCATTTCATACAAAAGTGTGAATATTTGTTAATAAAAAAAGTTATTTTTCTCTAGAAGTGGCATTTTTTCACTTCAGAAGATGGATGCCTGTGCCTTAGAACCAAAACTATGCAAGGTCAATCAAGACTTGTTTATGACATGGTGAAGACCAATTACAAAAATCATTTGCCATTTTTTTTATATGAATATTCAGGTTTTTCCTCAGGGATGTAAATCCCTCCAATCATACATGAGCTATTTTACCAGAAATCTGTTATAGCCTTAATAGGCACATCTATAAGACCCTATCTGTTCCTGTGAGAAGCCAAAAGGACCATGTAGTTGTACTAGAGCTGAGTATTTTGTCTTGCTCCATTAAATAAGATGTTATTTGTAGGTACATCAATGCCCTATATCAGTTTAAGAAAGTTTACTTTTATTTCTAGTCTAATGAGAGGTTTTCTTTTATCTTTAATGAATTAGAGTAGAATATTTAGTTTAGTTGTATGTGTGCACAATATGGTTTGACTCTATGCTCCCACCCAGTCCCATGTTAAATTGTAATCCCCAGTGTTGAAGGTTGGGCCTGGTGGGAGGTAACTGAAACATGGAGGTGGTTTCTAATGATTTAACACCATCTCCATAGTGCTCTCTCGTGATACAGTTCTCATAAGATCTGGTTGTTTAAAAGTGTATGGCACCTTCCCCGTGGCTTTCTTTCTCCTGCTCCAGCCATCATGCAGATGTACCTGCTTCCCCTTCACCTTCTGCCATGATTAAGTTTCCTGAGGCCTCCCCAGCTGTGCTTCCTGTACAGCCTGTGGAACTGTGAGCCAGTTAAACCTCTTTTCTTTATAAGTTACTCAGTCTCAGGTAGTTCTTTATAGCAATGTGAGAATAGACTAATACAGTGTGTGTGTGTGTGTGTGTGTGTGTGTGTGTGTGTGTGTGTGTTCATTTGGTTATAGGACCCTGAAAATGCTGGCTTCATAAAACAGGATTTGAAGTGTTTCATCCTCCTTTATTTTCCAGAAAAAAAAAGTTGAATAGGAGTGGCGTTGTTTAAAAAACTTGGAAATTGTATAAAAGATATTTACACTTTCCATTGAACTGTTTAGCATAATTGAAGAAGCAAGTGGGGGCAAGATGTGGAACTCAGTTTTGGACGTACTGAGATTAAGTTGTCTGGATTCATTTATGAAAATATATTAAAATAGGCAGCTGTGTGAATGGTCTGGTATGTCATGATAGAAGTATGAGGTGCAAGTATATATTTTAAACAACTGGCTTATAGATTATAATGGAAGTTTGTGAGTGGGTGAGGAATTGGGGTAGAGTGCTGAAGGAGATAATCATTTAAAGATGAAGTGAAGAGGAAAGAATTATTAATGAGATTGGGAAGGAGGAATCTGTTAAATAGAAAAGCAGGGACAAACATGTCTGGGGATGAGGGAAGAATCATAAGCATCAAATTCTGCCTTATATTTCAAGCAAGATTAAAAATGAAAAGCAAATATGAATACTAATGATGGCACTGCAAAAGCAATTCAGGGTGCAGAAATAGATTGTAGTAGATTGAGAAATGATTAGAGGCCTCATCTGCCTAATTTCAAAATCAATATTTTTAATTTCTCAAGGTGTGTTACATATTTGCCGCCAAAATGAGATAAGTATAATTACTATTTCTTCATTTAAAAATATGAATGAATAATATATATTGATGGTTGTTGACTATGTTAAATTTCCTAAGCTATTTTCCCACTAAACAAGTTCTTCATATGAAGATTAAAACGATGGCCCAGACCGGGCGCGGTGGCTCACGCCTGTAATCCCAGCACTTTGGAAGGCTGAGGTGGGTGGATCACGAGGTCAAGAGATCAAGACCATCCTGGCCAACATGGTGAAACCGTGTCCCACTAAAAATACAAAAAAAAAGAAATTAGCCGAGCATGGCGGCATGCACCTATACTCCCAGCTACTCGGGAAGCTGAGGCAGGAGAATCACTTGAACCCGGGAGGCAGAGGTTGCAGTGAGCCAAGATTGTGCCACTGGACTCCAGCCTGGTGACAGAGTGAGACTCCATCTCAAAAAATCAAAAAAAAAAAAAAGGCCAAATATGATTATATGCAGTTGCTTAGACAATTTTTCCAATAAAACTAGACAGTTAAGAAGTATTAAATGAAACATCAGTGGGGACAAAACAGTGATCTGGGGTACTTAGTAGCAGCTGATTCATTATTTGTAGATTTTTTTTCCAAGCATATTTATAGTATAATATTACAATTATCAGGATAGGTGAACTGCTATGACAAATAATCCTAAATTTCAGTGTCTTCATATAATATGGTTTATTACTCTCTCACTTTACAGTAATACTAGTTGATCATGGGTGAGAAAGACTACTATTCAGTAACTCTGTTATTCTGTTATCATCTAGGTCTGGTTCCATATGGCATATAAGTGAAGAGAGTGAAAGATCATGTATGTGGGTTTATGGTGAAAACAATAAATGACATAACATCACTTCCACTTATGTATGATTGGATAAAACTCTATCACATTCCTCAACCTAACTGCAAGTAATGATTGAGACAGGTAGTCCTCAGAGGCAAGAGAAACAGATCGTAGCTAATACTTGGAAGAATCTGATTCATAATGCCTGAGTTACTCTTAACTATTGGCTTTACATACACTATACAGTAATAATCAGAAAAGGAGCTCAGATGAAGTCAATTAATGAGTTTTTTTCTCCCAACACATCCAAAATTTAACCACCTCTCTTCTCCACTCTTACACCTCTGGTATAAGGCTCTGTCATCTCTCTTGTGTGTATTGTATTATTCTCCTTTTTTGTTTTCCTCTTTCTTACTTGTGGCCTCTAGGCTGACTATTCTTCACACAGAAGCCAATGTCAGGCTTCTAATATAACATTTAAAAAAAGTCATCAGGGTACTGTTCTACCGAAAATTCTCCAGTGGCTATCTATTCTACTCAGAGGCTCTCTATGATGTGGATTTTCTTTACTCCTCTGACATTGTGTCAGAGTTTCAGCCACAATATTCTTCTTGCTTTCCCTAGACAAGTAAGCTCTAAAAGCAAGCCTTTTGCACTTGCTGCTTTCTCTACCTAGAATACTATTTGCCCAGATAGTTGCATAGCTTGTTCATTCCCTTCAATTATGCCTAAAAATTAATCAATAAAATCTTTCTTGATAATACTTTAGGAAATAGCTCCCCTGTGTACATACCTCTAGTAATTGCCTTCCCAAATAACACATAGATTTATTTTACTCAATAGCACATATCACTATCTGATGTACTGTTTATTTTCTTCTTATTTGATTACTGCCTATTTACAACTGATATCATGCAATCTCGATGACAGCAGGCACCTTGTCGATTTTGCTCAAATTTCCTATCTCCAAGATCTAAAGTATTCGCACACAATTGGCATTCAAAGTATGTGATGAGTGAGTAACATTGATGCAAATATGTGTCAATAGTATTTTAAAAATATAAATTTTATTTATTTTTGTGATGAATAGCTTAAAAGTATTTATATTATAAAAAGTAGTGCTGTCAACATATATACAATTTCTGTTTCTTATTTATCTCTCAATGTCATCATATAAAGGTATCTTCTTTAAATGTACCTTTAATATGGCTTTTAAATTCATGCTACTGAACATTTCTCTATAAATAGGTTAGTTATTATAGATATAAGATTGAAGAACTGCTTTGTGTATAAACACTTATGTATTTGTCTTAGTCCATTTTGTGATGATATGATAGAATAAAATACACTGGGTAATTTACCAAAAAAGGAAATAAAATATTTATTTCTTATATTTCTGGAGGCTGGGAAGTCCAAGGTTGAGGGGCCTGAATCTGGTAAGGGTCTTCTTACTATGTCATCCTATGGCTGAAGGTAAAAAGCCAAGAGAGTCCACGAAAATGAGAAAGGGGCCTCATCCTTTTATCAGAAAAGTACTCTTGCAGTAACTAGCCCACTCCCAAGATAATGGCATTAATTCATTCATGAGGGCTCTGGCCTAATGAAGACATCACCTCTTAAAAACCTCACCTCTCAACATTGTTGATTGGGGATTAAGTTTCCAATACATGTACTTTGTCGGACACATTCAGACCATAGCAGTATTTAACATTGATCACTTACAGTAGACTCCTCCTGTAAGTGGATTTATATCGGCAAAGGGCAAAGACATTTTTAAGTATTTTGATAAATATTGATAAATTCCTTTCTAGAAAGGCTTTACCTACTTATACTCTCAACAAATGCTTACTAATATTATCATTTTAAATTGTTTGCTAATGTTATCAGTGAAATTATATAACACCTTATAGTGTAGCATTTTATAGTTCATTAATTCATTCAACAAATTCTCATTGATTATATATTTAAAAATAAGTTCCCTGTGCTTGAAACATGTTGATATATTTATTTGTGTTTTTGATTAGTATAAACAATATTAGGACATAAGTTGAAAATATTGGACAGTCACTGCCCATTGTCATTACCATTTAGACTTGTAATTACATTATTTATAACGAAGCCTGGGTCTGGACAGATCCACTATAAATGAATAACCTGCTTAGGAATGTTTTAATTAGCTTTCTATGCATCCGATTTGCAGTACTAATGGTGAAAATGAGCACAAAAGAACGAGTGGAGAAAATATATACAGGTCTTCAGTAGGCAAGCATAATGTTTATTTCCAGCTCTGCCACCTAATTGTTGTATGATTTGAACAAGAAATTTGCCACTTTGAGCCTCAGACTCCTTGTCTATGATGTAATAATTTTGATCAACTATCTTTCTGAAGACTGTTTGAGAAATAATTTGCCATAAAAGTTAACTGAGTGTGCAGTAGCCTCTTTGACACTTAGTAGGCACTTATTAAATTTTGGTTTAGATCCTACCTTCTTCAATGTTTTGACTAACCTCAGAACTCAAATTTCCAATTGATTTTAATTTAGTTCTAGCTTAAAAGCATATTATTACAAAAGGCATGCTCACTACAGCCAAACAGCCAACACTGCAATTCTGCAGGAGACACTAAGAAGAGCCACAGGAGACAAGTCTTTCTAGGTTATAATATAGTCTAAAATAAACAAAAAAACATTTTACAGAAAATATGTAAAAGACAAATATCTGTATGACTTTATCAGAGAAGATTGTACTAAATTGGCTTGGAAAAGCAATTCTTTATTGGATATGTTATTGTTTTCCCAGTGCAGCATCTTCTTCCCTATACAAAGAGCGTGCCAGTTTAATACTCTGGAAAGACTGTCAGTTCCTCCTGAGTTCAGCTCATGCATCTTAATGCAGCATCGGCTTTCCTGTAGACCACCACATTTCAGGCCCTTTGAAAAAACTCATATAAAAAAAGACGTGATGTTCAAGAAACGGAGGTGGCTTGAATAATTTAACAGCTACATATAGCCCTATGAAATGTTAAAGGGGCAATAGGGTACAATGGGGAGTTTTACAGAGACTGTAGCATGGCATGCCTCCTTCTGGCACAGTCGGCTCCTTGGTGCTAGTGATAGTTGATATGTTATGATGGTGAAATAATAATTACAATGAAGTTAATAAGTACTTTAATAGAAGCTAAACTAGCTTACTGATATTCAGGCCTTTAAAAAAATAAAAGGGTTCAAATAACAACATTATTTGGAACATTTAGCTGACATTAAAAATCATTTTCTAGAACATCCCGTCTTTGCTACTTTAAAATACATTTGTTATGGATAAGAACTGTTCAGCCAGCTATTTCTTTCTTTCAAAAATATGATAGGTTTTATAATCGCTTTCCAAAGTGAAAGGTAAAAAGACAGATGCAAAGTCTCTTAGGTTGTGCTCACATGATTAGAAGAATCAATGTTTATAATTCCTCATATGGTAAATCCACATACCCAATCTCACATTATAGTAAGGAAAATCTCCACCAGAGGCACAGATTTTACTGCCGATATCCACATAAGGCAGGGAGGCCCAAACAAGGACATGCATTTTCTTTTTCATTGCAAATCTTTGTTTTAAACACCTATAACATTCGTAAACCTTTCTCGTTGTTTCTAAAAATGTATTTTTTCTTTTTTTTTTTTTTTACTTCATTTGATATCCCAATGTGCTTATGAAAAAAACTGTAATTAGCTAGAGCTATATTTTACTCACTTTCATTGAAGGATATGTTTGAAATATCTTGCCTAAAAGAAAGTACCGTACTATTTTGCCACTACTTCTAAGAGGTCTCTTGCTTTTGCATTTTCTAATACTGTGCACTGAGTTCTCATTTTGAAGAAATACCTAAAGATGAGGAAAAACAGACAAGGAGCTTATTTTCCTATGAGAGCTACGATTCTGATCTCATTCTTAGATGAATACTTTAAATAAGTTGATCAGTGATGTTTGAGATCTCACTGAATACTCCAGATGTGTTTTATATACTTTCAGTTCTCAGGAAAATTCACAGTGTATCCAAGCTTATCTATGGCTCATTTAGGAGAGCCAATGGGTCCACAAAATGATGATTCTTACTGTCTGGGTAAATAATCTGTGTGATCAAAAAGTAAACAGCTAAATGGTGAAGTAATTGCTATTCATATAGACCCTTCACAATGTTTTACAGTTTCAGAGTTGCTTCTGTATATATAATTTTATAGGAAATATACTTTGCATCATTCTGAGGAAGATTTGGAAAGAGGGATGAATTCCAAGCAGAAGCAAGCTAGACGCTGAAGATACACTGAAGAGAACGAAGAGAATCTGGAGATACCTAAGACATGGCACATGACTTTGATGGCAGAGTCTCAGAGTTTGAAGAGAAAATTACCTTTGAAATTATAATTCTGTTTTCTCACAAAGCATGGCCAACTTTCCTGTTTTCTCCCAGCTTTACTGAGGTGTAATTGAAAAATAAAAATTGTGTGTATTTATATAGTGTACAATGTGATGTTTTACTCTATGTGTACATTGTGAAGTGATTGCAACAATCAAGCTAATGAATATATTCATCACCTCATATAGCTATTTATTTTGTGTGTATATGTGTTTGTATGGTGAGAGTTTGTGTGTATGTGCATGTGAACATAGAAAACAAACCATTGAATTTACTATGTCTTCTCTTAAATGATAGCTAAAATAAATGCACATGCCATAAAAGAATACTATTTATAAATCATCAACACATATTTGAATATCTACTGAGCTAATCACTGCTGAGAATTTCAAAGTCTATGAAACGTGGTACCTAATACATCAGTCTGTTGTATGAGGGAGATAAAATGCGACAGGCAAGGTTTTCCCTGTTCAGGGTAGTTTTGTCTTTTATGTTGTTTTCAGCTTTCCTTTTCCTTTAAAACTATCTTCACTTTTTGAGTGGGAATGGGTCCAATGTTCTCCGACTGAAGTGCCACTAAATCTTGGATTCTAATCTCAGCTCTGCATCTATTAATGCATTTTAACTGTCCTCAAAAGTTTTTTCTCAGGATCACGTAACATAATGCAAATGAAAATGCTGTGAAAATTTTGAAGTTCTGAATGTATGTACTTGTTTTCATTATAATAATATAGGTACTCTACAGTCTATTACTTCATAAACATATATTTAATCATCAATCTTATAAGAGATCTACAGATCTTCTGCTCTGAAAATGAGGGTATTTGTATTTTTACACCCAAGAGTATTACTCTAAATCTTTAAAACTGCTTTGATCTAGACATTAAACAGTCAGTATATGGGATGTCTGCTATAGTTCTGGAGCAGGATCCCTGTATTAGTCTGTTCTCACACTGTCATAAAGAACTACCTGAGACTGGATAATTTATGAAGAAAAGAGGTTTAGTTGAAAGAAAGTTCTGCAGGCTTAACAGGAAGCATGACAGGGAGACCTCAGGCAACTTATCATTACGGTGGAAGGGGAAACAAGCACATCTTACCATGGCAGAGCAGGAGAGAGAGCGTGAAGGGGGATTTGCCACACACTTTCAAACAAACAGATTTCATGAGAAGTCACTCACTATCATGAGAACAGCAAGGGGGAAGTCTACCCCCACTATTCAATCAGCTCTCCCACCAGGCCACTCCCTCGATACCTGGGAATTACAATTGGAGATGAGATTTGGGTGGGGAGACAGAGCCAAACCTTATCATTCCCCTTTAGCTACCAGATCATAGAGGGACAAGGAGTCCTACAGCAGATGCTAGGGTGGCTGTGTTTATAAAAGGGATGAAATTAGCACGGTGCATTTACAAAAAATAACAACTGGCACACCATAATGCTGCAAACCAGCTGAATATCAGCCTTTCTAATAACGTCCTTCTAATTCTACTTTTCCAATCTAAAGTCCAGTTTGATCCTTTTCAGTATTATTCTGAATACTTCTAATGATTATCTCCTCATCTTCAAACAATTATCTAAAATTCTATTATTTAATTTTTGAGTTTTAACAAAAGCGATTGACCCTCTAGAAGTGGAACATGAGAACTATCAGATCACTTTCAGTACTCCAGCAATGACTTGCATTTTGCACATTCAACTACACTCCTAAGTTATTTGTAATTATGTAATCAGATTAAAGCCAGGACTCAAGTTGTCAAGTGTATTTGTTCTTCTTTCACAGTTAAACAATGATGATAACATGGCCTAGTCTTTAAAAAATAATGTAAACATTACAGAATTTTTTATTTGTATTTTTCAAACCCCACAAAACAAACGTAACTTCACAGGATATAACAACAGTTCTGAGAATGTTCCTTTATCCACCATCAACTTCTATCACACTTCCACACCTACCGTAAGCACCTATGTTTACCAAACTTCTTGGTACTTTTCTCTTTTATTCACAGATCATTTTTCCATTATCCTTTGTTTTCCTCTTTTAAACCAAACTTCTCTCCAAGGCCAATCCATGTACCTATCTTTTTTCACTTCCTCATTAACTTATGCATCTCCAGTTTTTTTCTTATTTTATTTTGGATAGTGTTTGTTGCAAATTACCAGGAAATAGTTAGGCATGTTTCCAATTAAAAAACAAGTGTAAGGGACTCATTTTTTTGTAGGCAGAGGAAAGAGAACATTTAAAAAAATGCATTCAGTGATGGTTGTTATCTAATCACAAATACATTATTTCTAAATTATGTGTGTATACGTGTATTTGGATTACATTAAATTTGGATAACCTTTTCTCAGTGATTGAATAAACAGTGTTTATTAACTTTTATGTATTTTAATACTCAATTATTTTATAACAGTCAATTCTTTTTTTATTCAATAAACATTTACTTCATACCTTAACTGACTAAAGTTCATCTTCAGGAGCATTTTTCTAGAAGTATGCAGGCATGCACTAGTCCTCACAGATGTGCATGTTAGAAAATGTAATCTGTGTGATCTTGATAATAGAATGGCAACACTACTAGCTATCAAATTTCTGTGTCAGAATTTCATTTTCTCTCCTTTAAAAAAAGTGTTTGGTGACTTTCCAGTACTTGCTTATAGACATAGTTTTCTATGGAGAGAACAACAAAAAGTTAAAGTAATTTTTCTTTCTTATAAAAAAGTATTTTGGGGGGCTTTGATTACCATATGAGTCTTCCATAAACTTCCCAAATTAGAAATTAGGTATTGGAATAGTTTTTGATGTTAGTCATTTTTCTACAAAGTTTCTTTAAAAGTTTTTCCTTTACATCCATAGATTCAGATTTATGATTCAAGGGAAAATAGTTTTCTTTCTTTTATTTTAGTATATTAACTTCAGATTTTTTCTGTTCTCAGGGTATACCAATTATGCATGCATGAATCCTTCTTTATAATTATTTTGTATCTATTTTTAATCTTAAAACCTATTTATTATTTTTCATTTTATTTGGCTTTGCTTTCCTCAAGACTTATTTTAAGCTTTTTATTATGTTTCAGTATATTCTTTCTTCCATTTTGATTCCTCTTATGCTTTGTTCATTTTTGTATTTTTGTATGTTAATTTTTTTCTGAGTTCTGTGACTTAATTTTTCTTTCTTCTTTTTGTACTAACCTCTCCTGTTTGATCCTTTACCCCTCTTTTTTGGACATGTTTCAAAAGTCTTTATATAAATGTTCTTTACTTAATGGTAAAATATCTCAAACGTGCAGCCATTCTCAGCATATTTTTCTTCATTTTGTCACGTTTATTACCTTAGAGTATGTTGTACATGGGGAAATTATTTTTAAATGAGAGCGTGTGGGGGGCCAATGTATGTTAAATAATACTTGGGGGGCTAAGATGAAGGAGTTAAGCACTTAGACTTCAAGAAGATATTTCAAATATTTTCTTACAATCTATCTTGTGTGTCAAGAATCCCTTATATGGCAATTTAGCCTATATTTTATTTCTTATGACCAAGAGCCAAGTACACAGGTTATGACTATATTTTTTTGTTGCCTTTTCATACTTGCAACATGTTTGTGCAATGATAGGGGATGAGTATGTCCTCAATTAGCGCTGACATTTTTACCGCTTCATGTTTTCAGTAAGGTATCAGGGATATTTCAGCAGCCCACTGTCACAGGCTGGTGTAGGTATTCCAAGTATGGTTAATTAATGTAAATCTGTAAAGAAGACTTCTCTTAAAGTAAGAGAAATTGTGTTTCGGATCTACAAAGGCATCTATATTTCTTTAATCAAGTTCAATGGTGATTGTATTTAACGACCCTTCTTTTCATACATTTTCAGCATCTGAAAGTTCTTTTATTTTTCCAAAGGTGTAATTTTGAATTTTGTCTTATTTTGTTTTTTCTTACGTGTTATCAGGGACAGTGAGGCAAGGATATATTTACTCAGTCTTTTCAAAAGGAATCCACACTGAAGTGTTCTATAAATATGAATTAGCATCCTGAACAGAAAAGGTAAACTACAATTTAGTAGTAAATTTGATAAGTCTTAAACCCAGAGACATTTCTTCAGATTTAAAAAAAAATGACAGAGGATGTATATAATAATATAATCTTTGATAAATGTTTGGAATTTAGATGAGTAGAGAGAATGAGGTAGACTCTAGTCCTAGCAGTCAGTAGGTCGCCTGGAAGAAAGCTTAGCATAGTCTTGAAAGCTGTTCTCTGAGAAAACTGATATGGCTTTAATATGCAGATTGTCTAATAAATACACAGTCTGACGTGAGTTTGACCTTTTAATTTAATTTCTCATAAGTGAATTTAAACATAATACCTTACATGTTAATGGCATTTATTTTTGAGAGCTCATTCATATGTTACATAAATACCTTCTCTGTGGAACAGATATTGAACTTGCATATTTTATTACAAACAATGATAAATAATCAATGTCTTTTAATGTATCAATGTATTATTAATCAATTATTGTGGTCAATTAATAATCAATATATCATATTAATCATTGTAAAATAATTTGCTAAAGCTAAGGATCTCCAAATATGAACTGCACTGTACATTGGTAAGAGGTTTTCCACAAAGATTATCACAATGACAGGAAATTTCTGGAGGAGATTCAGGAATCAGGTAAGTGATACAACATCCAATCATGAGATAATATGATCACATTTGCAGTCACCTTTAATCACTGGGAAATCAGAGGTTCATGGAAGTTAAGTAACTTGTTTAAAGTTGTCAAGATTGAGATCATGAGTCAACACTGGGGCTATGGCACAAATGAAAATGAAAGCCAGAGCATCATGAGATTATTAAATTGATTCCTGGAGCAGTTTAGACATAAAATTAAACTATGAATTAAAAACATGGACACACTAACTGCACAGACACTTTAAAGTATTAACATGCGAAGCGCTTATCTTCGTTATGATGTTAATGATAGAACAAATACCTAGGAAAAGCAAGAATATGGTATGACATCAAAAGGGCTCCCAAAGACATAATTTGTTTTTGATAGATTTTGAATTTTTTAAATTCTTCCCAGGCTTTCGTTTTATGCACTCAGAACTCTTGGCTGTAGTCAATTGCTACTGCAGGTTCAATTATCACCAGTTACATTTTCAACTATTTCTTTCACTGATCTCGCTGTCAAACACACCTGTTCTGACTATTCTTTGCCAGCAGGAATTAGCCACTCAAAAGTATTAAACTCCACTTCCATTTTAAAATACCATTTTGAACATGACTTTTAACCTAAGAGACACATTTGTCTTTTTTCTTAATTCCCTGCACCTCATCTCATGTCAAATAGTGACTTTCCTTTTAACACAGCCATATGTTTTCACTACATAATTTTTAGTGCAAGCCCATATCTCTTTACATTCTTTTACTCCTTTCTTGTAAATTCTGTCCCTCTTTGTTTCATTCATCCATTCTGGTGGCATTTCAGAGCTTTGTGTTTAAACTACAGGCTAGGAAATAAATTTTAAGCTTTGCAAATGATTTATTAGTCATTTAGTAGAATAATGCATACTATAGTGTAGAGAATTCAGGGAGGGCCATTCATGTACAACGAAGGACAAACAGGTGTAATTGCCCCCTCACACCTTGACCTTTTCTTCTTTAACCTTCTGAAAGTCATTTTGTAATAGTTCACAAAACTTATTTTGCCTGAGGAAAAATGTTAAGTCACATAACTAGGTCATAACATTCAAATGATGCGGCTTTTTTTTCTGTGTGATTTATAGTATTGCACGCATTCATAATGGGTAATTTATTAGACATGAGGCAAGATTTTATGCTAATTGTACAACTTATTTCATAATCTTGAATAGGGGCATAGAAATTGATTGCTGAGAGTAGACGGCTGCCAATAATTTCTTCATGACTTCTCTAGAAGGCATCACTTATTTTCCATTTTCAAGCTGTCAACTTAGTTACATGTTTTCCCCTCATATAGAGATTACTACAGAAGTCCCAAGTGTCATGTTGCCAGTTTATGTTGCTTCCAAAGTATCACACTCATTACTTCCACGTTGTCACCACCACAATGCCTTACATTTTACAGTCCTTCACTGTTTGAAAAAAAAAAAATCATGATTGGGTTTTATTTGTTCCTCTGGTTGGGAGCCATTATGTCCTTTAAGTGTCCTTTTCTCACCCTCTGATTAGGAAGCAATGCCATCTTTTGAGCTCCTGTGGTCAGTAATTTTCACATGACCTCTGCTACATGCTGGGCTGAGTGATGCTTTAGTTGTATTTCAAGGTTTTAACACACTTCCAAATGATTACAAGAAAGAGTATATAAATAATGTAATAAGAGTGCTAATAGAGAGGGAAAGCATCATGAGCAACTCAATCATCAAAGGTTTCTTAACCCATTATAAATATTTGTCTACATTGATTACTATATATTTAAATAGGCAGCTCAGCAACACTTTTTATTAATTGACTTATTGAAATGTAATTCAAATACCATACAATTCACTCTTTTAAAATGAACAATGTAGCAGCTTTTAGTATGTTCTCAGTCCTACCACCACAAGGAAGATGCTCTGAATGAAGAAGGAAATTGCTACTTCTCTAGAAGCTCCAGAATGTAATATTGCCTGTCAACCTCTTGAGTTAAGGCAGCGAGAACTACTGGGCTATAAGACAACATATTTATGCTATTTTAAGATACTAGCCTGTGGTAATTAGTTACAACAAAGTGGAGATAGGGAAAGTAATACAGCTATTAACGTAACAGGGACAGACTGTGTGTCCAATTGTCCAAGGGTAAGCATATCATAAAGTTAAAAGTAATTAAACAGATTCCTTTTAGATTGTGAAATTCAGATGCAAAAACTGGATAAGAGGAATTTGGCAATGGGTAAAACTGGAGAAAATATGTAGGTGTGCTTTTAGACTATGAAGTTTGCACTATACTCTGAGCAATGGGAATATGAAATAGGGTAGTGAAATAGTCAGTTATTCATCGTAGAAAGATTAGACTTATATGCTAGGATCCATGCAAATGGATTGGAGAAGAGCAAAGCAAAGGTAAGAGATACCAACTGTAAAACCTTTGCAATAATTCCAGAGAGAGCATGTTACCCTTGATATAAGTAGTGGAAATGAGTTGAGAAGAAATGGAATAATAAGGGAGAAGGATTTAGTAAATATAATTAACAACTCGTGGTGCCTCAGTAGGGGTTATGAAGGATAACTTTTAACCTATAATGTCACCTATGTTTTTAGCTTGGCCAAATTAATACATGTTAATGGCAACATTATTGGCAGAAGTTGGAATCTCAGGAAAAGGACATGTTTGATACTGGACAATGGTGAAGATTCTAAGATTCTGTTTAGTTGTGCTGAATTTGATGTTTCTGTGAAAGCGAAAGAAGTTAAATGGAGGATATATTTGATGGAGAAAAAGGTGGAGGATGAGTTTTGATAAACCGCTTTGGGGATATCTTCTAACAGCTGCTGATGCAAATGGTTCTCTAAGAGTGGCCCCTTCTAAGCTGGATCTGTCCCTGATCCTAGGTGTGTGGATTGGATTCTGAAAGGACATAGAAGGTCCTAAGCCAGCTATTTTCATAGGATATTCAGGTGCTTTGGCAGCCCCTAGGCTGCCCAAATGGCTTTTCCATTCCTGGGAAAAGACCTAAAAATCTGAACACTTCCTAGAGAACTTGGAGTCAGATAAAGGCTGCCATCAAAACCTACCTATTCTCTTGCCAGGTGTTTCCCAGCTCATCCCACATATTATAAAAGGAGCAGGGATGAGGGTACACATAATATTCCTGATTCTATTTATTCTTAAATCTCAGGCATTTATTTAAGTTCTGTGAGACACCCTGTATCTTCAAATTAAATTCCTCTTTTTGCTTATCTTCATTTGAACTGCGATTGCATTGCTTTTTTTTGCCAAAGGGGATTCAGGTTATATGACAATCATTTTTATTGACACTGAATATAGTGCTAACACAGAGAAACATTGTATGTTTAAATGGACAACGAGATATACACTCTAGGTGGGAATAATGATGAAAAATGCAAGTAATGTGGCCCTATTTTTATTTTTATTTTTATTTTTTGAGACAGAGTCTCGCTCTGTCTCCCAGGCTGGAGTGCAGTGGCGCAATCTCGGCTCACTGCAAGCTCTGCCTCCCGGGTTCATACCATTCTCCTGTCTCAGCCTCCCGAGTAGCTGGGACTACAGGCGCCTGCCACCACGCCCGACTAATTGTTTTTTTTGTTTTTTTTTTGTATTTTTAGTAGAGACTAGGTTTCACCGCGTTAGCCAGGGTGGTCTGGATCTCCTGACCTCATGATCCACCAGCCTTGGCATTCCAAAGTGCTGGGATTACAGGCGTGAGCCACTGCGCCCGGCCGGCCCTGTTTTTTTGATATAAAGACACCCTATGATTTGTACTAGTGAGGAGCCTTGGGGGTATATTAGTCTGTTTTCACACTGCTGCTATAAAGACATACCCCCAAATGGGTAATTTATAAAGAAAAGAGGTTTAATTGACCCACAGTTTTGCATGGCTAGGGAGGCCTCAGGAAACTCACAATCATGGCAGGAGGGGAAGAGGCACATCTTACATGGTGGCAGGTAAGAAGGAGTGAGCAAGAGCAGGGAACGTTGCTTTACAAAACCACCAAATCTCATGAGAACTCACTTACTGTCATGAGAATGGCATGGTGAAAACTGCCCCTGTGATCCAATCGCCTCCCACCAGGTCTCTCACCTGACATGTGCAGATCACAATTCAAGATGAGATTTGAGTGGGGACACAAAGCCAAACCATTTCAGGGGGTAGTAGACATTTTTGCTTGACCTGAAATAAAGATTGGGCCTAAAGATAGAACATGAATTACCAAGGGGAGAAGTAAATATTGTTCACCCCAATTATTATTTTGTATGCAGGCAAATAACTCTGCTCAAGATATTTAGAATAAAATCAAGTGTCAAAGATATTTCAAGTGATTATAGACTAGGACTGTACCATCCTGTGCCTAAATTCTATGAGCAGCTGGACTGTAGTAGTGCAATCTGTATAAAGGGAAGGTTATAGGCACTGGATTAGTAGAATATCTGGTTCTGGCTTGGGAAATACCCCTGTGAAATATGTGAGCATTCTGTGATATCTACAAACCACATATGGTTAATAGAGATTCCATTTATTACATGATAATATCACTCTGAGTATATGACAGTATTGCTATATTTAGTTGTTAATCTAATTTTAATCCATCAAATTTGAATATTCATTAAAACATGACAACAAGATAAAATGCAAATAGAAAAGAAGACAATTTGAAAGGGTGTTAATAAATGGATGACACTGGTAAAATAACAACACAATTTATTAAGTCAGGCTTAGATCCAATTAAAATCTTTACTAAGAGTTTCAACTTTATTTCTCAGGGTATTTCTATGTTCTGAAGTATACAAGTATATTTGTTTGGGTTTCCATTTCCTTCCTGGAATCTGTGTTAATATCTACAGTACATGATGCCTTTAGGAAGAATTTTTTATCTTTATGAGCTATCATTATGCAGAAAACACTCAGGTTTATATCTCTCTATTTGATCATTTAGCTTTGGCAGCAGATGATCTGATTCAGAGTCTGTCTACAGTGAATAATTGAGTGTCAGAAATGTTTTAAATTAAATTCTGACAAAGATGAAATGCTTTGTGGGGGAAGCTAAATGTTTGTTAAGTTCTTTGTCCTCTTTTTCATGGCCTCTTAATGGTTGCAATCTTTTATCTGCTTTTGCAAAGAAGAGTCTATGTGCTATTTAAGATTCTGTTGTGGGAGCCATCAGGCACATTAAATCTGTTCCTCTGTGTTCTTTCACCATCTTACGTACATTGTAAGTATAAAATAAAAGGAGTAGCAATGAAAGAGAATTTCCTTCAAAACAGCATAATTAGTATCAATGTATATTTTATTTCCTGTTAACACCTATCAATATAAGAAATAGGGTTGGTTAGTGATTTCAAACTGATAAATATAAAGCAGATTTTGGTTGGATTTAAGAGTAGTGGCCCTCTGCTATATGAAAGATTCAAGTGAAAAACCAGTTGAGGATACTGCAAAACAAGCAAATAAATATTCAATAGTCTTTTTTTTATGTGGCTCGCACATATACTCACTTCCTAGTTTTAGGTATATTATAGACCCTTAGGAAAATAAAGTGCAGGGGACTTTCACTTTTGCAGGCAGTAATCTTGATTTAGAAATATAATATAAATGTTACTTTGAGGCCGACTTGGGCTCAAAATCTATCTCTATTAGTTATTTGTGTACTTTGGAGCAGTTATTAAATAATCAGCTTCCATTTTCTCATTCATAATTTGGGAGTTCTGTTCTCATTTAATAATTCAATCAATATATATTTATTGTGTACCATAAAACCGCAATTACTTTTGCACCAACCTACTAATATGTGCTGGTCATAATCTAGCCATGGAGGATACAGTTGTAGACAAAACAGAGAAACTTCCTGCCTTCATAGACCTTAAATTCTAGTGGGATAAAATAAATGAAAAAATAAAACATATAAAATTTTAGATAATTTTAAATGCAATAAAAGTAAGATAAGGAGAAAGAAAATGAAGTGTGTGTGTGTATGTGTTTGTATTTTGTGTGTGAAATGTACAATTTTAAGATGGCATATACATACCTTCCCCCAGTCATTCAATCAAATAGTGACAGATAGATCGATGACAATTGGAAACAGAATATCAAGCTTTCACTTTTTAATGGCTGAAACAAATACTAACTGCTGGAATAATGCCAATAATGCTTCTTAGAAAGCTAGAAGCAAGTCAGAAAGGAAGATACTAAAAAGTAGATAAAAGTATATTCTGCTTAATTATTGAAATATATGCAAAGGTATACCTATGAAGAAACTCTACTGAAAGCAGAAGAAATTACCAAATCTTTGTGACTAAAGATTCTTATTCTAGTATTTGTCATGATGCTTTTCACAAAGAGGATTTTCAGGAAGAAAGTTTGACCCTCTCTGCACTTCCTCATCTGCTTCTGTTTCATCACTGTTCCCACAAAATGTGATTCCAATAAGCATATCCTTATTGTGTGGTATAAATAGACTCTCTCTATATACTTGATGGCTGCTTAAAATACAAATCAGTCTCTTTTTTCCCCCAAGAATCCACTAACAAGCAGTGGCTAAACTGTTATTTGTATTTTTACAAAAATGTCACTGGTATAGAGAATAAAATAAAACTTCAAAGTACTCATTTTAATTGTCAAGGAATCTGAATAACGTATTCTTAAATTATATATATATTTTGCTTTCTTATTTAACTAACAAATTCTAGTAAACAACCAGACACAATACTTATCACTAGAAACCCCTTCATTTTTTCTTTCTGCTAGCATCTGGAAATATATTTATGTTCAATGTGCTTAAAAGTCACAACATGTAGAATAATCTTACCTATATAAACCTACATGTGGAGAAAAAGTCCATAAGTAATAGATATTATGGATGATGTTTTAATTTTTATTTTAATATTGTTCTGTATTTTTCATTTAAAAATGAATATTACATAATTAAAGTTTAGGTTAGGATACTTAAGTTTATACCAAATAATCCAAAATGAATATTAGCAGACACTAAGATAAGAAACACTATTGGTCAAAAAGAAATTCTCTGGAAGGACTAGAAGTGGTCATTGCTTTCACTATTATTTCCTTAATATTTTAACTTCTCCATAGTGGTCTCATATTGCCTTCATTTAAAAAATAAGTTTCATTTTAATAGCAAGTGTTATTTCAATATTGTTTATCTGGATAAATATAATGTTTTAAATTAGTCAGGTTCAATAATATCTTACGGTGATTCTTCATTAAATAAATGTCAGGTCTCAGAATTAATATTTTGAAATTGAAATCTGTATTTTAGTTATTATAGTGAGTATAGATTATCAGAGGCAGAAACCATGTCCACCACTAATTCTAATGCCACTGCCACCTAGTTAACTACCTGCTTCATGTTCAACAGTAGCTATCTGCTGGTTGACCTCAGCCAGTATCAGCAATGAATAGGCCTTGAATACCAGATTCAAGGACAATAATCAAAACCATTATCACTTCCACAGTCACTATTAGCTAGCTACATCCAGGCGCTAGAAATGGATAGGTATATAGAGCAGCTGGAGGGTCTTGGTAGATTATTTGAATGTCGGCCCCAAAGCTCTGGGAAACCTTCCTCAGTGACTTTTGGATCCAGAGATTCATTCAAGAGTGGACAATTCAAACAAGACCAAGCCTGACATATCAGGAGGAGCCCTATTTATTTAGTAAATTGAGATACCTCACCTGTAATTATTCTCTCTAGAGTTTCAGTATTAACTCTAATGCTTATTTTCATGTGGATTTTAAACTTATTTTCAAGTCATATAATTTTTTGGACTTTAAATATGTATATTTCTTATTTTTTTTACTTCTAAATAAATCCCAATTTGCATTTTACCTAGAGCATTTTTAAGTCATCCTCCTCAAAAGGAAGTAGCATTATTTATTTGCTTGTATCTCAAGGAGGCAAATTTTAGGAAGGAAATACATTTTAGGAACTGATGCTCTTCTTGCAACTACTTAGGATAAATGCCCAGAAATTCATAGGTTGAATAAAATAGTTGTGGGCTACATAGTCCACTATATTATTATACTTTGCCAAAGATACTTATTTTGTACAGACAAATCAGTATTTTTTATATTTTGTTGAATCAATACTTTGGAAAATTTATCCCAAAACAAAATATAAAAAATAATCAGCACTCCAATACAAGTTTTAGGAAAGTTTTTTACAATTTTAAATACAAATTTGTAATTTTTTTATTGTTCCTTTAAAAGCTGGATTATATTTAGTATGATATTATTTTTAGTTTTTAAAATTGTCTTTTTATCCTTGGTCAATGATATAATAGATTGCATTGGGTCCATAACTTTGATTATAAAACAGAACAATTAATGACTAAATAGGGTAGGAAATGGACAGATAAATTTTAGCCTGGAATGGATGTGCCATTTATTTGCATTACAACATATAAACTGAAATATTATTTCAGCCTAGGGTGATATTCCCTGCATGGTGCAATTCTTGAAGTTGTCAATAATTTTCTGTTTGAGAGATTTGAAAGCGGAAAACTTGTAGAAGAGGTCATTTCAAGCAGAGATGAACTCATAGGCATTTACCACATGTAGTTATAATCCCCCTCTTCCCTATCCTGATAGGAAACTGGTTAGCTAACTTACATCGTTCCTCTCTTTTTCAGAATCCACTTTTCACTATTGAAGAAAACAGAATAGAACCTGAAGGAGTCATATGTTCAGTCCTTAAATAGTCTCTCAAACATTCCTAGAATAGCCACTTTAGCATTTTCTGTATGTAGCTAATTGTAAGATGAGTTTATTAATAGGCTAGAGTGTATGGTTTTATATCTCATTTCATTAGGACATTGATTTGCAAATAAAATTCCATTTCTATAGGTCCTAGTTGCCTCACCTATCTACTCTCTTGGGAATGGGCTGTTTAAGTCTACCTGAGAGAATTTCTTAAGAAAATTATTTAAATTGCTAGCCATGTTCAACTACAGAAATTGTGGAGATTTACAAATCTTTGATATTTTCAGGACTGGGTTAATTTATAGGAGCAATTTTGTTTTAACCTAAAAACCTTATTCATATTTTCTTGTTTATAATCTGCTATCTAAGCACAAAGTCTGTTAATACATGGAGATTTTCTTGCCTAGTGCCTTTCCCAGTATGTATTTTCTTGCATGATGGCTTACATACATCCCCATTCATCCCAGGAAGTAAGAATTCTAGACATCGTGCTTAAGGCACTGCTTACAGCTCTTTCCTTAAAATTCTACCAGATAGCTTGTGGTTAAATCAATTCCTGGTGAAGAGGGGAGACGATGTGAGTTACTGGTGCTTGTCACCAGCACACAATTGGCCCATGTGCTGGCTGCTGATAACAGTGACTAACCAGTTGAAACAGCTTTTTTTTTCTTGTATTTTTTTTTTTAATCTTGAGCTCAGTGGTCACTGAAACACCTGTGAAGTGAAAGCAAATGTAATTCCAGAGTGCTAGCTGTAGATTATTAAACACAACAGATTTCTACAGTTTAAAATTATATTTAATTTCACCTTTTCAAGATTAATATTATGCTGCTTGGTGAGTGTTCTTCTAAGCACTAGTGTATGACATCATAGAAGTACATTTTAAATTTAATTTTCTTACTATTCCTAATAATTCTCAGAGAAAGTTAGTCTAGGGTACTGGTGAATCCTGGCTAATATTTATAAGTATATAAAATAATTTTCTCTGAAATTCTATAGCATGTACCAAACACTTCGATACAAAACTCAAAATTCCATCTAGTGGTATAATATTCACATTGAGGTTATGAAAATGTGACTTAAATTTTTAAATATAATTTAATGATGCTGATAATACATTTGGAAGTCCTTCCAATGAAATATCACTATTTAAACCCAGAGCCTAAATACTAACTCCTCTTGCAAATAGTATAGACTTTAACAAATGATGAACATAAGGCCAATCTTTAAAAGACTATTGTCTATAATAAATGAACGCTTTTAGGCTTAACAGACTGGAGGGTGAGATATAGGTGTGCAGACAACAAAGCATGACAATATGTTTAATTTAACTTAAGGAAGGTTTATCACCTTGGGATTCCATTATCTTTATTATTCTCTCAAGTTTGAAAGAAGCCAGTCAAAATATAGCTTATCACTGGCAAAGATCGGGAAACATATTGACCTTTATTCAAAAACACTCCCCCTGCTAAATCCCACCCATTGATGAATTCTATAGTATTTGATTAATTAATATCCATTCAAATATAGTCTTTCAACAGGCGACAGTGTTGAAAATGTGCATACTTTCAGATCCCTCTGACAAAAGAAATATCATTCATATGTTAATATATTGAATTACTAATGAAGCTTGAACACTGAACACATTCCATTTTCATAGTGGCTAGCAATTACTTTAAATGTCATTCTAAGGAGTAAATAAAATGCTTTAAAATAGTGCTGAGTTATTTGAGTTGTTTACTATGATACTGACAGGATGTATAATATTATACTATTGTACAATTAGTTAATAAATGAAAAGTGATCCTTTAAGTTGATTTTCTAGAATGTATTCTCTGTATTTGCTGCCAATCCTCATTAAATAAACAATTTTTATGGTACATTGGTGACGTGATAAAAATGACAAAAATATTGTTTCCCACTTTCTAATGACAACTTCCTTCCATCTTGAAGAACAAATACATATAAACAAAAATTAGCATGTGAGAAGAAGATGCAGGATAATGAATGACAGCAAAAGAGAGGAAGAAAGAGATGAGAACAATGTTGACAGAAAAACTGCAATTTAATATCATACACTAATACTTGACACATCAAATGGAAAATATAAAAGCAAATATTAAAATGTATTTATCCTGATATGAAATGACAAAGCAAAACAGAAGTACTAGCCTTAAGAAAACAGCAACTTTGATAGTTAAACTGAAATTATAATAGCTCATATAAATTCTTGTTTTGTTTTTAAATCAGAGTAACTGTTATTATTATAGAGCCAGTTTATGCTCAAAACCTTCCAGTTAGCTTCTGAATGTCAGGAAAATTAGAATTTGTTTTATGAGTCTTCCAACAGATATTTTTGCTTGTAAAAAAACTACTGGTATTTAAATATCCAAACTATTATTATCTCTAATACTTTCTTTATTTTATAAATTGTTCATTTGCTTTGATTTTTTGAAAGACTAATTTTATATTCAGGGGTTTATGTTGTCTTTATTTTTTAATGTATTTAAAAATTATTAGAATTTAAGTCATTTTAATATTACTGAAATTCTTCTTTTCACTTATTCTTTTAAAGTTTGTTCAGGAGTTATATAGAATAAGTGTATTCATTCTAATTTTGAGTTAGTAAAGATTTGGTCATTTTTCCCTCTAAGGGTTTCATGCTTTTATATAAAGTTTTCTGTTTCAAAAAACTAATTTAAAATTTTCAACTCTTGTCATGGATGAAGACAAGCAATAATTTATCATACTAAAAAATAGAGACATTTTGGAAAATAATTAGATTGGTTTATCACCACTGAATAAACCTCCTACAGAAACTCTTGAAAATTGTCTAATATTTTATTGTAAAACTATGTCTTCCTTAGTGACATAAACTGTCATTTTTCTAGTCAGCATTCTATAAATCATCATAGAATGAATAATTTTGTGATCATGAAGCTACTCTTACCATATTTTTATTAGCATTTCTAACTCTTGTTTGAAAATATTTTCTCAAAGTCTGAGGCTATTCAAAAGTTTTGAAATAAATGTTCTATTGAATGAATTGCATTTCTCCAAAATTCATGTCTTGAAGTTGTAACCTCTAATGTGATGGTATTTGGAGATTTGGCCTTTGGGAGATAATTAGGTGTAGATGATGCCATAAAGGTGGGGCCCTGATATGGTTTGTCTCTGTGTCCCCACCCCAATCTCATGTCAAATATTAATTCCCAATGTTGGGGAAGGGACATAGTGGGAGATGATTGGATCACAGTGGCAGATTTCCCGTTGCTATTCTCATGATAGTGCCTGAGTTCTCACGAGATCGGGTTGTTAAAATTGTGTAGCACTGCCCTTTTAACTCTCTCTCTCTCCTGCTCTGCCATGTGAAGATTGTGCCTGCTTCCCTTTCACCTTCGGCTACAATTGTTAAGTTTCCCAAGGCCTCCCCAGCCTCCTGTACAGCCTGTGAAACTGTGAGTCAAGGCTCTGTTCTTTATAAATTATGCAGTCTCAGGTAGCTCTTTATGGCAACATGAGAATGGACTAATACAGGCCCTCATGATGGATTTAGTGCTCTTATAGGGAAGGATAACTGAGAGCTTATTTTCTTCCTCTCTCCCTGTCTCCCCATCCACATGCACCAAAGAAAGGCCACGTGAGCACTCAGAGAAATCATAGTCATCTGCAACACAAAAAGACAGTCCCAACAAGACAGTGACCTTGGTGGCACCTTGATCTCAGATTTCCAGTCTCCAGAACTGAGAGAAATAAATGGCTGTTGTTTAAGCCACTCTATATTACTTTGGTATAGCAACCCTAGCAGACTAATATAATATGCATTATTATAAAATCTGCAGAAGTACTATTTATACTCACAAATCTACTTTGAAGATTTTTGTGTTCTGCCTCATAAAAGTTATCTCTTAACTAACAATTCTAAACCTAAAAAGATATGCTGTAGTTTGAATGTTCCCATAGGAACAAGTTATAATTGCCAACTTATATAGCAAACAATGTGAGGAAAAGTCTATGTAAATATATATGTATAAATGCTGATCAAAGTTTCAACCCTTTTACTCTAGCTCCATTTGTAACTGAAATAGGATAGAGAATATATATATACACACATATAAATATACACACACACGCTTACATACTTTTATGCACACACTCAGTTTAAATTTTAGTTCTACATAGTTCAGCATTTCTTGTAGATTATATTTTTTGGGATATTGATGAAATTATTCCACAGATATTAAAAATATTTATTGATTTTGGCTATTTTATGTCAACTACCCTTAGTTATTATAACTCTTGTTATAACCTATTTCAAACAACTATTAGAAAAGTGAATAAATCAAATGAGAAAAATATTATAGTTTCATATTCCTACCTACCTGGTCAGATAAACTGAGAATCTTGGAATATGCCTGCTTCTTTATCAATTAACACATATCATGCATCCATCTTGCTATTGTAAAAGAGATTATGTAATTATAAAGCATAACTGTTATAGTCGAAGTTCTCACAAGGTAATTGATGGAACAAAGGTATATAAGACAATTAAATTTTAAACTCTAGTCTAACAAAATTTATGATAGTAACACAGGTATGAGAGAGTTATTAGATTCCTCAGTTGAATATTAGGAAAATGGTTTTATGGAAGGGGTGAATAATGAAGAAAATTTGATATTTTGGAAGGAAAAAAGAGTATATGCTATGTAACCTCTGATGTCCTTTAAGGAAAGTGTGATAGTTAAATATTTAACAATAATACATCATAGGCACAAATAAAAATAGCCAGTTAGTGGATAAATCTTTATGTGCTATATTTAATTTCCTTATTTCCTGGGTGAATTATTTTGTAGTGTTATTAGTAACAAACTTTGCAGTGCTTTGGCTAATATTGAGCATTAATTTGAACATATTTTCTGTGCCAAAACTAATATGAAACATTTATTTTGAATCATTGCTCATTGTTCCATTTATACTGAGCATTAGATTTTTATGTTTTATGTGTAGAATGTTGCCTTTCCTTATCTAAGAGCAAGGGAATTTTATTCAAGGTATTAAGGAAAGATATTCAACAAATCAGATAAAATATGATTGACGAATTTTTTAAATACTAGTTTATGTTTAGTGACCACTTACTATAAACCAGTCATTTTTCTAAGCATTTGACCTGTCATTACCCTATTTTGCCTTTACAAAAACATCACAATGGAAATTATTTTACGCATTTGAAAATAGTGAAACAATTTTAAAGTAAAGAAATAGGCCTTTTGTTATGCAGCCATGGTTTATATTCAGCTTTCTTTGACTCCACAGCATCTTATATAACAGAGACGAAATAACACAATAAGATTAAAGTTTAGGGTTAAAAATCTCTTAAATATCTGCATTCTCAGGGTTATGCCCTAGACCTCATTCAGTACCAAGATACTATTCAGGAATTCTGCAACCTATCTATTGCCCAATAAAGAACGCTTTCATCATTGACTTATCTTTGTCCACCATTTTTACTGTGTTTTGTTAATTTTGACTGCAACTTATTTTATTGGTTTTTCTCATCCTTTTCATGAAGACAGCAACCACCCAACTTGTTTAGGTCATTAATACCTGTGGTCTGAATAACAGCAGCTGACTATGATTCTGCTGTCATGAATTCAAACTGAATTCAGGAAGACTTTTGTGAAAAAAATTAGATGAAGTTATTCCTTGATTTAAACCTTTTCAAAAGCTACCCTTTTCCTCGGGAAGAGTTCAGTTCCTACAAGGTTTGCAAGATTCTTCATAATCTGGTCCCTGATATCAATGTATTTCTTGTCTTGAAAAATTCCATCTCCAATGTATTAAATTACTTTTAATATGTGAAATATGGCATGTTCTCTCTTCTTTGCATTATTTGACATATAATTTCTCTACCAACACCAGACTCTCTTTCCTATCTCCTACTCATTATATTAGTATACTATTACTACTGTAAAATATTACCACAAAATTGGTAGTTTTAAATAAATTTATTAATTTACAGCTCTGGAGAGCAGAAGTCTGAGATGGGTCTTACTAAATCAACACACTGGGAGGGCTGCATTGCTTTTGGAGACTCTAGTAGAGAATCCATTTATTCTTTGAAGCTACTAGAAGCTGTCTGCATCCTTGGCTTGGGGCCCCTTCTGTCTTCAAAGCCAGAGATGGCTGGCCCAGTCTTTCTCACATCACTCTGATACTGACTCTCCTGCCTCCCTCTTTCACGCATTAGGACCCTTGCAGATACATACACACAGTCCCACCCAGATGACCTAGAATAATCTGCCAAACTCAAATTACTTATTTTAAGCACATTTTCAAAGTCACCTTTTCCATGTAAGGTAATATGTCTACAGGTTCCCAGGATTTTGATGTAGATGTGTTTAAGTGGCTATTATTCTGACACTATATTCACTCTTACACTTCTAAATTAAGAGTAAATTCTTCCCAAAAGCCCCATATCAAGGTTATGCATCATCCCTATTCATTACCGTAACATTTTACATTGTTCTCATCATTCAAGGGTAAACAAGACAATCACTGACTTTACATGGTTTTAATCTAGTAAGTGATAAAGGAGACCCAGCAAGTATGCACATAAGGAGTTGAGAGCACTCTTGTATTCCCGGTGACTACCAAAATTCCTGCCATCTAGTAAGCAGTTAAACATATTTTGAGTGAATGAGTGGCCAATTAAGTAGGAAATTCTTGTTTTCACTTACATATATAATACATTTCACAAAGTATCTTCTAATAATTAAGCTCATATTTATTTGCAAAGCTAATTTTCAACCACAGTCTTATTTTGCCTTCTCTTATTTTGCTTTATTTTTATTATATTTCTCCATAAAACGAAATAGTACCAAAAACACTGATAACTTTATAGTACGTCTGCTTTACAGAAAATAATGGAGTAGGCAAAAATAGTCATCTAACACAATCCTTATATATCTGCAATGAAAAATCTGAAAATGATATTAAGAAATAAATCCTTTCACAAAAACATGACAAAGAAAAAAATACTAGAAATAAATTTAACAAAAAAGTATAAAACTTATCACCTGAAAACTACAAAACATTGCTGAGAGAAATTAAACAATATCCAAATAGCTGGAAAAAGCATCTGTGTTTATCATTAGGAGACCCAACCCTGTTAAAATGGTAATACTCTATAAACTAATCTATAGGTTTAACTCATTCTACATCAGAATCTCAGCTGACTTCATTGTAAAATAGACAAGCTGGTCTTCATTGTAAAATAGACAAGCTGATCTTCACTGTAAAATAGACAAGCTGATCATGTGGAGTGGTAATGGACCAAGAATAACCAAACTATCTTGAAAAAGGAAAAAGTATGTAACCTCACACTTCCTAATTTCTAAATTTACTATGAAGCAATGACAATCAAGACAGTGTGGTACTGATAAAATGATAGACACATAGATCAATGGAATAAGTTGGAAAGTTCAGAAATGAGCCTACACATATTTTGGCCAACTGATTTTCGACAGGAACTTCAAGACCATTCAATAAGATAATAACAGCTAATGGTGCCAAACAACTGAACAGACACTTACAAAAGAAAGAACTGAGATCCTTATGTGACACCATGTGCAAAAATTAAGTAAAATTGATCAAATACCTAAATTTCATTGGTAAAGCTACAAAATTATTGGAAGAAAACACAGGATAAATCTTTATAAATTTCTGTTTGACACAGGAGTCTTAGAAATGACATGCAAAAATATGAGTAACAAACAAAAATAAATTGAATTCACCAAAATTAAAAGGTTAGTTTTCAAGAGATACCATCAAGAAAGTAGAAAGACAACCCATAGAATAGACAAAACATTGCAAATCATATACATAAGTTACTTGTATTCGGAATATATAAAGACCTTTTACAACTTAGTAATGAAAACATGAATTAAAGGATAGGCATATGATCTGAATAACCATTTCTTCTAGGAGGATATACGAATGGACAGTATACACGTGAAAAGCTGCTTAACATAATTAGACATCAGGGAAATGCAAATCAAAAACATGATAAGATATCATTTCATACCCATTAAGATGGCTAAAATTTTATAGTAAGTTATTAACAAGTACTGGTGTGTATTTAGAGAAATTGGAACTCTGACACACTTCTGGCGGGTATGTAAAATATTACAGCTACTTTGGAAAACAGTCTGATAGTTTCTTTAATGGTTACACATAGTTTCATTTTGTGATCCAGCAATTCTACTGCTAGGTATATATCTAAGAAAAATGAAAGTGTATGTTCACACAAGACCTTGTATATGAATGTTTCTAAGAGTGTTATCATAATAGCCAAAATGTGGAAACAATCCAAATATCCATCAATGGAAGAATGGATAAACAACATTTGGCATGCCTATCCAATGGAATATTCAGACATAAAAGGAATGAAGTACTGATATATTATACATCATGGATGACTCTTGAAAACATTATGCTAAGTGAAAAAGCCAGTCACAAATGCCACATATTATATGACTGCATTCATATGAAATGTCCAAAATAAGGATTTATAGAGACAATGTAGATTAGTGTTTTTTTTTTTAGGATTGGGTATATTGGGGGAATAAAGCTGTGACAGCCACAGGGTAAGGATTCATTTTTGACATAATAAAAATGCGCTAAAATTGACTGTGGTAATGATTGTCTATATCTGCAAATATACTAAAAAATTGAATTTCGAGTTTTGAATGGGTGAATTTTATAGTATGTGAAGTACATCTTACTAAAACTGTTAAAAATAGGCAACTAATATGAACTGAATTGTAAAAATAAAAATATTTAAGAGTGTATTTCTCAAATGTTAAACAATAAAGAGAAAAAATACATAATACCAGTATTAAAAGTTAAACTAGTCTTCTAAAATGATTATGTTGTTCAACTTTCTCTATGCCTGTGACATCATTAGTCAAATAAAACATTCCTTAGTGGCAGTCAAAATCTTCCTAAAGCTCCATGTACAGACTTGTAAATTAGTTTTCTTGCCTCTTTTACCAAATGATATGCACCTGATCCAGGAAGATATACTGAGGTGAATAAATATTCCAATTCAAAGTTTTCTCTTTTGCCTTTATTTCTCCAACACTTTCTTTTATTCATATTTGATTTAATACTATCACTTGTCTATAGAAATTTTATTCTTGTAGCTATACAAAACATCTAGTATAAAAATCTTAAATAGTTTGAGGGGAAAACATGAAGCAAAATTTAGTTCAATTTAACTGAGAGTAAAACTTTGTTTCAACTGTTGGAAAAAAAAAGTATGGAACCTACTTGTCAGGTTGATTTCCTCAAGAAATAGACCCTGAGGAAAAAATCAGAGAGTGGGAGGTATATTAGGGAGATCTCCTGAGATCTACAGGTGTGGATGAGGAAGGAGGAAAGCTGGATGAGTCGGAGGTAGAAGCCAAGATGAAGTGCAGTCAATGAAATGGCTCAGTCATCCCTGTCGTGAGTACTAAAGATTAGCGAACCCCTCAGAGTTGTCCTAAGTTGTACACAAAAAAGGCTATATTAACACTGTGTCAACCCTGGACGAAGGCCAACCTTGCATGGGTTCATCACCTTTGGTGATGATCTTCATCTGGGGCGATGCTGGGGCATTAGGATCTTCAGCTGAGGCAATCTATAATAAGTACTGACAGGTGAGTACTGGTTGCCACCAGCATTCCCAGCAGCTGGGTGAATAAACTCTTTATTGCTGAATAGAGATAAAGGCATTGCATCTAAGTAACCACCACTGCTGCCAAAAGAAATACTGACTTGCTGCCTTCAATAATAAGGTAATTAAAATTAATACTAATAAACTATTTCTGAATGAAACAGAATAAACCATACGGATATAATTACTCCATGTACAGATATGTCTCTCAAAAATTCAGCTATTAGTCTTATTATTGCTTATTTGATGGTGGTGTTTCTTTTATTCTAGTGACTTTTCAGATTTTCTCTTCTGTTTTGCCATTTACAATGGTTTTTCCAGGTGTGGTTTTCTCTGTATCAACATACTTGGAATTTGTAGCTCCTCCTGAATCTTTCTCCTGATATACTTCTTCCCTTTGCCCTGCCACATCTCACCCTACTGTACCTTCTGGTACTTTACTTAGGATAACTGACAACTTCATTTTTGTCTCAAATGTTTCTTATGCTCTTATATCCATTTTCCTTTACTTTTCCCTTCCCGTGTACTGACCTGTTATAGTTTACTGATTCTCTCAGTTTGTTCGTATAATTTTCTGTTAAAAAGACCATTTATGATTAATTGTTATATTTAATTTTCTAATTTCTAGATTATCCACTTTGCTATTTTCTATATTCCAGTCTGCTCATGAATTTTTTCATTTGTTAGATACAGTTAGTTACAGTTGTTTTATTGTTTCCAATAATTCTAGGATTTTGATCACATGTAGATCTATTTTTATTGAATGTCTCTAGTCGGTCTTAGACAACTTAGTACTGTATTTAGATGTATCCAGTACTCTTTGTAATACTGTTCATTGTATCTGGAACATTTTAGAAGCTCTAAAGGGTGTTATCTTCCTCCTGAAATGATTTAACTTTTAGTTGACAATGATATGTACTGTGAATACATGTAGGAGTGCCTGTGATTCAAACTTCAGAGGCACCAGTCTGTTTCTTTCTTTCTTGTTTTTTTTTTTTTTTTTTTTTTTCGGTAGTACATAGCTTTTCAGAGGGTTCAACTAGAGACGTAGAATATTTGCTTTTGTTATTCATACTGGGCATGCCCTAAACTCCATGTTTTAAAACCCCAATACTATAAGACAACTAGACACTCTACTCAGGTTTCATGACTCAGCTTCAGCTTTCTGTTTGTTTTCATGGTCTCTTATTTCATGAAGATTAAGAAAATGAAAATAACCTTGAGGTGATAAATGGCATAAAATATTGGGCCGGCTTTTATGTTTTCTCTTTTCTTCAGAAACTTGGTCTCTCAGAGTTTGCCTATCTTTGAAGCCCTGAACTTCGGTATTTGGATTCTATCCCTATGACACTACTAAGAGCACTAGGCTGCTACTGTTTGCATTGTTGCTGTTGTTATTGTTTTTATCTGCTCTCTGCTTATTTACAGATAAGCAAATTTATCAAGGGGAGAAATTATGTCAAATGTCTGGTGCGTCTCAATGCACCGTCCACTAAAGGGAATAAATATTCACTTTGGCCCTTTTTCTGATACCAGAGTGCGTATTTATGAGCTATCCTGGGCTTTGAATCAGGACTAAGTGATGCAAATAGGTAGAGAACACTAGGAAATGTGAGTGATAGCACCAACCAGACTGTAGGGCAAAATTATATTTCCCAAATTTGGCAACATTGTAATGATTCCAGTAGAGATACTAAATGTCGAGGGTCTTTAATATTGGGGTAGCTGCATCTAGTGCTCAGCGGTTTGACCAATAGTGTGCTTACTAACCCAATTCTGCAAAATATTTTGCATGTGGTTCTGACAATCAGTGGCCTCTAAACTACTCTCAATGTTTCCAGCAATTGGGTGAGGTATCCTGTAAGTTTTCAAACTATTATTTTCTACTTTATAAGCAAAATTAATTGTATTCCACTCAACTATTTTAAATATGAGTAAAAGTAATTGTTCATTTTACTGATTTATAGTTATGTTTTACAATGAAAACAATACAGGGCTAACCTTACTTTAAAATTATAATGGAAACAATAACTCAGTAATTATAAAACTTTATATGTGATTAGAGTATAGCTGTTGTACAATTTGAAAAAGAAGGTGAAATTCATTGGAATATTAAAAGGAAATGTAATAAGATTTATTCTAACATTTTACATTGCCCAAACTGGTAAAATGTATGAAACAAACACAATTGAAAAAAAACTATGTTTTCTAAGCAAATTATCTTTATATATATTTACAAAATGTTATATATATATATACACACACACACACCCATATATATGTCTATACATACATATATGCATATTCATATATCTATATCCTTGTAAGTATAGATATATGAATATATAGGTTTAGATACAGAGTCTGGCAAATCTTTTGAACTGCCAAAATAGTAAAAAGTCCTGTAGTCATCCAAATAGGATTGATTTTAGTAACACTAGAAGCAAAAAAAAAAAAAAAAAAAAAAAAAGCAAAATTTTCCCTAAAAGTATATTTTGTGAAATGGTCTTAAAAGGAATTATCTACTTTGCTTGAGAAGTAAACTGCAATACGGATTTGTTGTGAACAAATCAGAACTACAAAATCTTTGACATAGAAATCAAAGTTATATCAATAACATTTGATTAATTGGCTCTACTTAAAAAATATGAAAACGTTCTTTTTAAAAACGTTTTTAAAATGTATTATTTTTAATTATTTTGGATATATAATAGGTATAAATATTTATGGAGTATAACTGATGTGTTGATTCAGGCTACAATGTGTAATAATCACATCAGGGTAATTGGGTATCCATCACCCCTGGCATTTATCACTTCTTCGTTTGAGGAATACTCCAATTTTACCCTTTTAGTTATTTAAAAATAAACAATAAATAATTATTGACTATAATCACTTGTTGTGCTATTAAATACTAGCCCTTATTCATTATAAATATATTTTGGCCATTAACCATCCATACCTTTTCCCCTAACTTCCTGCTACCCCTCACAGCATCTGATAACCATCATTCTACTCTTTATCTCTATTCGTTCAATAGTTTTATGTTTTAGTGCTCACATATGAGTAAGAACATGCAAAATGTGTCATTTTGTGGCTTGTTTCTTTCACTTAACATAATGTCCTCCAGTTCTATTCATGTTGTTGTAAATAACAGAATTTCATTATTTTTTATGGCTGAATAATATTCCATTTTGTCTATGTACCACATTTTCTTTATCCATTCATCTGCTGATGGACATAGGTTCGTTCCAAATCTTGGCTATTGTGAATAGTGCTGCAATAAACATGAAAATGCACATATTTTTTCAATATACTGATTTCTTTTATTTTGGGTGTATACCTAGCAGTGGGATTGCTAGATCACATAGTAATTCTATTTTTAGTTTTTTGAGGAACTTCCATATTGTTCTACATAATGTCTGCACTAATTTACATTACCGCCAATAGTGTAGGCGGGTTCCACTTTCTCCATGTTCTCACCAGCATTAGTTATTGCCTGTCTTTTGAATACAAGCCATTTTAACTGGGGTGAGATGATATCTCATTGTAGTTTTGATGTGCATTTCTCTGAAGATCAATGACATGAGCATTTTTATATATGATTTATATGCATTTTTTGAGAAACGTCTATTCAGATTTTATGCTCTTTTTAAATTAGATTCTAGGTTTTTTTCCTGTCAAGTTGTTTGAGCTCCTTGTATATTCTCAGTTTTAATCCCTTATCAAATAGATAGTTTGCAAATATTTTCTCCCATCATGTAGGTTGTTTCTTCACTTTGTTGATTTTTCTCTTTTTTGTGTAGAAGCTTTTGTCATGTGACATAATTTGTTCATTTTTGCTTTGGTATTACTTAAGAAATCTTTGCTCAGTCTAATGTTCTACAAAGTCACCCAATGTTTTTGTTTAGTAGTTTGATAGTTTGAGGTCTTATATTTAATTCTTTAGTCCATTTTGATTTGATTTTTGTACATGGCAAGAGATAGTGGTCTCGTTTCATTATTCTGCATATGGATAGCCAGTTTGCCCAGCACTTAGTGAAGAGACTGTCCTTTCTTCAACGTATGTGCTTGGCACCTTTGTCAAAAATGAGTTCATTGTAGATGTGTGGATTTTTTTGTGGGTTCTTTATTCTATTCTATTGGTCTATGTGTCTAATTTTATGCCAGTGCCATCCTGTTTTGATTACTATAGCTCTATAATATAATTTGAAGACAAGTAATGTGATTCCTTCAGTTTTGTTCTTTTTGCTCAGGATGGCTTTGGCTATTCTGGGTCTTTTGTGTTTTCATATACATTTTAGGATTTTTTTTCTATTTCTGTGAAAAATGTCATTGATATTTTGATAGGGATTGCATTGAATCTTTTTATTGCTTTTAGTATATGAACATTTTAACAACCTTAATTCTTCCAATTTATGAACATGAAATGTCTTTCCATTTTTTATGTCCTTTTCAATTTTTTTCATCAATGTTTTATGGTTTTTACTGTAGAGATATTTCATTTATTTGGTTAAATTTATTGCTAGGTATTTTATATTCTTTGTAGCTATCAGAAATGGGGTTACTCTCTTCATTTGTTTTTCAGTTTGTTTGCAATTGTTATATAGAAATGCTGCTGATTATTATATGTTTATTTTCTATCCTGCAACTTGACTGAATTTGTTTATGAATTCTAACAGTTTTTTTTGGTGGAGTCTTTTGCTTTCTCTAAATACAGGATTATATTGTCTACAAACAAGAATAATTTGATTTCTTCCATTAAAATTTGTATGCCCTCTATTACTTTCTCTTGTCTAATTGTTCTAGCTAGGACTTGCAGTACTATGTTGAATACATTGGTGATAGTAGGCATCCTTCTCTTGTTCTAGATCTTATTGGAAAGGCTTTCACATTTTCCTCATTCAGTGTTATACTATCTGTGGATCTGTCATATATGGTTTTTATTGTTTTGAGCTATGTTCTTTCTATATCTATTTTTTGAGAGTTTTTATCATGAAAAAATGTTAATTTTATCACATAATTTTTCAGCATCAATTGAAATGATTATATGTTTTCTGTCCTTCATTCGGTTGATATGATGTATCATATTGAGTGGTTTCTACTGCTGAACCTTTCTTGCAACCCTAGGATGAATACCATTTGGTCAAGATAAATGAACTTTTCAATGTGTTGTTGAATTTGGTTATTAGTATTTTGTTGAAAAATTTTGCAGCAATATTCCTCAGAGTATTGGCTTGTAATTTTATTTTTTGTTGCATATTTGGCTTTGGTATCAGGTTAATAATGGCTTCATACAATAAGTTTGGAAGTATTCCCTCCTCTATTTTTTGGAGTCGTTTTTGTAGAAATCATATTAATTCTTTTTTAAATGTTTGGTAGAATTTAGCAGTGAAGCCATCAGGTCCTGGGCTTTTCTTTGATGGGAGACTTTCATTACAGCTTTGATCTTGTCCCTTTTTATTGGCCTATTCAGGTTCTGGTTTTCTTCATTGTTCAATCTGGGTAAGTTGTATTTATCTGGAAATTTATCCATTTATTCTAGGCTTTTCAATTTATTGGCATATAGTTGTTCATAGTAGTCTCTAGGGATCCTTCGAATTACTGAAGTATCAGTTCTAATGTCTCGTTTTTCATTTCTGATTTTATACATTTAGGTCTCCTCTCTTTTCTTCTTAGTCTGCCTAAGGATTTGTCAATATTATCTTTTCAAAAAAACAAATTTTGTTTTGTTGATTTTTGTATTTTTTGTTTTAATTTAATTGATTTCTGCTCTAATCTTTATTATTTCTTTTCTTCCATTAACTGGGTTTGGTTTGCTTTTGCTCTTCTAAGTTCTTTAAAATGCATCATTAGTTTCTTTATTTGAACTTTTTATTCTTTTTTGATGTAGGTGCTTATCGCTATAAACTTTCCTCTTAGCACTGTTTTTACTGTATCATATAGGTTTTGGTATGTTGTGTTCTTATTTTCATTTGTTTCAATAAATTTTTAAATTTTCTTCTCATTTTTTTCATTTATCCACTCACTTGTCATTCAGGAATATACTGTTTAATTTCCATGTGTTTGTGCAGCTTTGAAAGTTCCTCTTGCTACTGATTTCCAGCTTAATTTCATTGTGTTCAGAGAAGACACTTGATATGATTTCAATTTTTTAAATAATTTGAATACCTTTTGACTGCTTCTGTAAGCTAAAATATCATTTATCATTGAGATTAGACCATGTGCTGAGTAGATGAATCTGTATTTTGCAGCTGGTGGACGAAATGTCCTGTAAATATCTATTAGGTCCCTTTAGTCTATAGTTCAGATTAAATCCAATGTTTACTTGTTGATTACCTGTCTGGATGATCTGTCCATGTTGAAAGTGGGGTGTTGAGGTCTCTAGTTATTATTGCATTGGGGTCTGTCTCCCTAACTCTGATAACATAATGCTAAAGAAGATTAAGCAAGTATGCACATACAGGCAGGAGTTTGACATACTCTTGTATTCCCAGTGACTATCAAAATTCATGTCATCTAGTACATAGTTAAAATATTTTGAATGAATGAGTGACAGATTAAGTAGAAAATTGTTTTCACTTACATATGTTTAATACATTTTACAAAGTATCTTCTAATCATTAAGCTTATATTTATTTGCAAGATATTTTTAACCAATATCTCTTTTAGCTTTAGTGTCTTATTTTGTCTTCTCTAGTTTCATCCCTTTCTCCAGAAAAGGTAAATAGTACCAAAAACAATGATGTCTTCATAATCATTTGGTGGCATCACGTTTTCTTGGGTGTTCCCGATGCTTATGGGTGTTTGTCAATGTCTGGGCATTGAAGAGTTAGGTACTTATTCTAACCTTTATAGTCTGGGCTTGTTTGTGCCCATCCTTCTTGTGAAGGCTTTCCAGGTATTCAAAGGGAATTAAGTGTTGTGATCTAAGTATTTTGTCACTACAGCCATATCTGCACTACAGTGTGTCCTGGTAACACTGCAACTCTTGCCAACTCCTAGAGGTACTGACTTGGTGGGCTTGAGTAAGACCCAGGAGAATTCCCTGGATTTCCAGGCGGTGTTTCTTGTCCTCTTCCTTCACTTTTCCTGAAACAGAAGGAGTTTCTTTCTCTCCATGCTGGGCTGCTTGGATTTGGGGGAAGGGTGAAGCAAGCACTCCCATGGACACAACAATTGGGACTGTGCTGGGTCACACCTGAAGTCAGCACAGTTGTGGGTCTCACCTAAGGCCCATGACAACTACTGCCTTGCTACCACTGTTTATTCCAAGCCTAGGGCCTCTTTAGTCAGCAGGTAGTGAATCCTGCCAGGAATGGGTTATTCCCCTTAGAGCAGCAAGTTCCCTTCAGACCCAGGGTGGATATAAAAATGTTGTCTAGAACCTGAAATTAGGGATTTCAGATATCTGATTTGTGCTTTATTTTACTGTGGCTGAGCTGGTAGCCAATTCCAAGACAAAGTCCTCTTTTCTCTCTCCTTTCTCCAAGCAGGAGTCTCTCCTCCGGTTGAACTTTCTAGCGTTGGGAGAGGGGTGGCACAAGCACTCGCATGGCCACCACAGCTAGGACTTCTCTGGATCACACCTGAAGCCAGAACAGTTGTGGGTCTTGACTGTGTCCCACGGCATCTACTGCCTCGCTACTGCTGACATTTATTCATGGCCCAAGGGCTATTTACACAGCAAGTAGGAATCTTATTAGGACTGGGTCCTTTCTTTCAGGAGAGTGGGTTCCCTTCTGGCTCAGCCTGGGTCTGAAAATGCCTTCTCAGAGCTGGGGCCTGGAATCAGGGACTTCAGGAATCTGCTTGGGGCTTTATTTTACTGTGGCTGAGCTGGTACCCAAGTTGCAAAACAAAGCCCTCTTTATTGTTGTCACTCCTTTTTGCAGGTGAAAGGAGCCTGGAACTAGGGATTTCAGAAATCTGCCTGGTGTTTTATTTTACTGTGGCTGAGCTGGTATCCAATTGTAAGACAAAGTCCTCTTTTCTGTCTCCTTTCTGCAAGCAGGAGTCTGTCCGTGAGCTGCACTACCTGGGGTTGGGGGAGAGGTGGCACAGGCTGTTCCTTGGCCTGGACAGCTGGTGTCTCTCTGTGTTATGTGCACCCCAAGTCCGCTAGCTCTGAGCCCAACACAGCACCAGGACTTGCTCAAAGACTGTAGTTCTTGTGGCCTGATTGCCTTTCAAATTTATGCAGGACCCCAGGGCCCTTTATTTCACTGGTGGGGAGTGCTAGCCAGAACTCAGATTCCTACCACTGAGCTAGAACAGTGGTCTAAATGATCCCTCTATGGGCACTGACGAAAATCTGTGTTGTGTTCCATGGTGGCAGGGCAGCACAGAGTTCCAGTATAAAGTTCCACAATCAGTTCGCTGTCCCTCCCACACACAGATTCTGTCTCCACATGTAGCCTGAGTACAGGGGAGGGGTGGTGTAGGCAGTGAAAGACTGTCTTTCCTATCCTCTTTCCTTGATATGATATTAAAACCAGGTACTGTCATTGCTCACTTGATTTTTGCTTCTTATGAAGGTGGTTCCTTATATGGATAGTTGTTCAATTTGGTGCTCCTGGCAGGGCATGGAGAAGGTCACTGACAGGTTCTATTTGGCCACCTTGCTCCTGAATATGTTTTTCAGAGAGAGCTCTACTCTTTAATGCATTACTAATAGATGGTACACATGCTTACTTTTCTTATGTGTGCTCTAAAGCCATTTTGATATTATATTAATGGCAACATAATTTTTATTGTATTTTCCCATCTTAATGTTTGCACACTGTTCAAAATCTGAGTACAATATTGACCACATCTCAATCTTATCCTTTCCACATTGTTTTTTCGTTTCCCAACACTTCTAGTGATCACACTAAACTTATATTATGACAAGAACCAAGGCTATAAAATATTTGCAGGCAGCTTATTCTTTTGACAATATGATTCTTATTGGCATGATCTCTGCTTTTTCCTTGGACTGCTGCATTCATATTTCCCATATTTAGAGAAGCAAAATAATCTGGTGACCAGCAGGATAATAGCTCCTCCTCTCAATTCATACATTAAAATGAATTTTTACTTTTGATTAGGATTCTATTAGTATTTTTGTTTGTTTGGGGTTTTAAGAAAAAGAGAAAGTGTGAGGAAACGTGATTTGGATACACTGCTGAGTGTGGAAGGACACACATGTTTTCTGTTTCTCTTGAGAATAAGTAGTTCCTGTCTTCCTAGAAAAAGACTGACTGTTTTTGGTCATACCAATAAGTAACCACCTGAGTCCATTTTAACCCCATCGTTTTTGATCAATGACAACTTCCTTTGGTAGCATATTTCTTAAAGTCAGTCTGGCAGCAACTGCCTTTTCCGCTGCTCAGGTTTTTAAAAGTCTGTCAATCAGAAATAATCTCCATTTGATAACCTTTCACAGCTATAGTTCAACCAAACCCTAAACACTTCCGTTGCTCAAGGTCTGACAATATCTGAGAGCTCTATTTTCTTCAAAAAAAAAAAAAACCCCATATAAGATTATCTCTTTACTTTTCCTCTATTTCTGTCTTCCTAGGAAAAGAATTATTGTTAAACAAAACAAAAAGATTTTATTTCAGGCAATGAATGATGGTCTCTTTCCTTTTGCAGCCTTCAATGAAAACACAACTAAATAGTTTCTACTTTTAGTGTCGTGTTCCACAAGAAAAGGATATAGGTTTCTTGAGTGAAGGAATCTACCCCGTGCCTATATTTCTTCCTACATCATTTAGAATAAGTTATTGCACATATTAGGCTCTCAGTAAATCAAATGATTTAAAGATGTTTGAGTTGCAAGCTATTTTATGTTTATACAATCTATTGTTGTTAAACTTTGGATTTTAGCAGTAGACATTTTATTTAAAGAAAATTTGACACCAAATCTACCTTTTAACTAACACAGCATAATGGTTCTGGGTGAAGCTATAGATGTGGAAACTAACCTTCTCCCATTTCTTCTATTTGTTCCTTACCTCCCTCAGGTCTCTATGATGCTTTACATCAGGTGAAACTTTGCTAAATAGAGTTTTAAGCCACTAATCTATTCCTATTCTCTAATTCAAAAGATGAGGGAAGTAAGGCCACATGACTTTCTCAGAACCATCTTAATTATGCACAAATTGAAATCCTTCTCTTCCACGACTGGCTAAATTTCCACATATTCAAACCTTTTGGTCTTCTAAAATACATTTTCATTCATGTGAGTTTATATGAAGTTAACTATATTTTGCAGTAAAGTATTTTTAAGTTTTTGCTGAAAATAGAAAAAATTGTAATTATTTTCTGCTAATATCATGTAGCACTGTTTGTGATATACTTTTATATTATTTCTAGAATGTTTATTGACTTCCTCTATGTACTCACATATCTTTAGTAGGCATCTTGTTATTTTTAAGTTTCATTTATATTATCTAAAATTAAAATTTATAATAATTATACATTTCTCTGTTATGTTATTGCACTAGAAAAATCACAATATTAAAACAATCATAACAAATTATAATTTTATTTATAATTTTAGTAGGAAGTATGCCATTGGCATTGTTAGATATACATTCATTATTTTGTAGAAAACATTTATTTTTCTCTTAGAGAAGTTTTATTAAGTTAAATAATAATTTTAGTTAATTTATCAAACAAATACATACTGATCATCTCTCATGCACTTGGTACTATTACATGCTCTTGAAATATACCCATGAACTAAACAGACAAAGATTCCTACCCTCATTAAACTTAGATTTTAAGACAAAAAATAAATGAATATAATAAATAAAATATATGAATTATCACAAAATGATAAGCATAATAAAAACCAAAAATAAAAAAGGGTATGAGGAACTGGTAGTGTTTCTGTAAAGGCACAGATTATAATTGTAGTAGAGTGGAGAAGGCTGAGTGAAATGAGAGGTGGAATTTTAATGAAGACCTGAGAGATATGAAGAAATTAGCAGAAAAATATACGGGTGAAGAGTTCTAGGCAGAAAAATAATCCAGTATATAAGGACACTAACACAGAACACACAAAGATTGTTCAAAGAACAGTTAGGAAACCACAGTGGCTCAGTAGAATATATAAAGGGCAGAAATGTAAGATGAGGTCAAAAAGATGCTAAGAGGTTAGACTCTATAAGGTCAGAGCATATGCAGGCTTTTAATCTGAGTAAAATGAAGAACTAGTGCAGGGTTCTAACTGAAGAGTGACCTGTTGTACTCAGATTTTAATGGGATACCTCCTGCTGCTCTGCCCAGAATATTCTTTTAGAATCAAAGAGCAAAATCAGAGAGATGTGTAGGAAGTAATTAGAGTACACTAGTCAAGAGATGATTACTTGTACTAGAATGGCCAATAGATTTTGCTCCAGAGTTGGGTGAAGAGAGAGAAAGGAGGAGAAGGAAAGAGCAGAGGAGAGAAGGAGAGTAGAAGAGAGAGATAAAAGGTGGCCCTCAAGTTTGGGGTTTGATGAAGTTGCTAACAACTGAGACAAAGTGAATTGCAGGTGGAACAGGTTTATGGAGACAAGATTAATAGTTCTGCTAAACATGTTGTATTAGGGGTATCAGTTACACATACAAGAGGAGATGACAGTTCAACAAACATGTATTGATTTCAGGCTGGAGATAATACAAAATCTATAAACAATCAACATATAAATGGGATTTTTAATGATCATAGTTAAAGAACAGAAAATGTCCAACAACTGAGCTCTGGGACACTTCAACTTTAAGAGATCTATCAGAAATCAGGAATCTGCATAGGAGACTGAGAAGAAATGACCAGGGAAGCAAGAAGAAAACCAGGAGAATGAGTCCCAGAAGTGAGGTAATTTTTGTTTTTGTTTTCGTGAAATAAGTGACTGAATATGTTAGATGGGGCTTGGATGTCATAGAAGATTAGAGAAATACCTATCTAACAACTGGAAGGTCATTGATGGTTCCCACAAAACAGATTCGATGGTCTGATTAGAGAAAATGGGAGTATAAATGGTTCTTTCAAGGAGTTAAAGGTGGTATGAATAAAATTATTATTTTGTGAATTTTAAATTATTAATTTGTAAGTTTGAGCAATGCTCTCCTAAGTAATATTGAACATGTCTCTTTTGAATAAGCCTAAACCGGCCTAATATGCAAATGTTTGGTGCTTCCCTGGACCATATAGTATGCTGTTCTAGCCAATCTTAAAGGAAAAGACATTTTATTTTAAAAAATGCTTGTAGAATTAGTGTTTTATCCATTTTTAAAATTTAGGCTTGTGGACACTCCTGCCTCTGGATTTCAAGAGAATAATTTTAAAAGGATTGGTAGAGTAAGACCAGTTTATATGCTTAATGTTTTCTAATTATTTTCATGGGTTATACTTACATATTCTTAAGATAGCTTGACAAGTTTTATTTAGTTCATGAAATGCTGTGGGTTTAATTTCTCTAAATAAATTACATTCTTGTTCTTAAATTCCAGAATATAAATAAGACCTCAAGGTGTTACTAAGTATAGGTATCTAAGCAAAATAGAAACAACCAGATTGAAAACAATCTCCTGGTTTCTCAACTGGGAAGAGAGCTAATCCAATGCCTGACAAAACATTTTACTGCTTGCATACTGTCACTCCAGCAGTCCTTCACAAAATCCCTTAAAACTTGATACTATCAAGTCCATGGAATTTTTTCTTCTCTAAGCTAAATACACACAATGTATGACTTCTCATTAGATGTAGTAATTTTGAAACAGCATTTCTATTATTCAAGACAGGAATTCATAATTGTGTTTCTAATAGCAACAGCAGCCACTTTCTAATGTTGGCACCAATCTCTTTTCAGTTCATGTTCCACTCACTATGTAGTGGCACATTTGCTATGCATCCTCCTGGGTGTACAGAACTGTCAGGCTACTTTAGAACCACCTGTCCTCATGGATGATAATAAAACTATGCCCAAGTGAACTTTTTGCAGCAGGGTAGCAACCTGTGCTTTCACGTCACAGCTGTTTCAAAATGAAAGTAAAGGACATAAATAAAATTTGGCATGAAGATAAACTTGTATTTTAGGTGTATTTAAGGACTTGGGGGATTTTATGGAAATAGAAGGATATGCAAATTGAGAAAATGTATTCCTAAAATTTCCATATAGCTTGTTAAATCCTAATATCTCCAAGAGAGTCCATTTTTACCAGTTTAGAATAATTGAAGTAAAAGCCAGTCTCCATTAATAAAGAAGTCAAAAATTATTTACTAATTTATTCATAAATACACGCCATGCATGTATATATAAATTCATTTTACATATATAGATCTTCCTTAGGCACACTAAAAATCACACTACCCAATGTAATAATCAAATAGCTCTTTAAGGTAGGCATAATTCTCCTTTAACATGTAAGGACACTGAAGAAAACAGAATATTTAAATTGTGTAATGCTCAACGTTTTATATTTCATATTCTCGTTTCAGCAGACATTACTGGTTGCCTAATAATTAGGCTCCTCCAATAAAATTCCTTGCTTACAAAATAGAACTATAATTTTGTTTAGTTATTGGAAGATCTATGTTTCATGGATCCCTCTCCAGACCGAGGAGTTAAATGTTAATTACTTAGGTGAGAATGTAAGTTTCTCAGTTATATTACCAGAATTGCTTTTATTTGCTACGGAAGCATCTGATGTAGCTAGTTGGAGTAGTAATTTAAAAACCACTATTTGTGATTCAAAATAATGGGTTCTTGCCATTGTAAACCTGACATTATTTTAAAAATTTAATACTTTTACTAAGTTGAGATGGAATATTAATAAAATATTTTTTCTGCTTTTCAATTCATATAGTGCAACTACAGAATTTTGGTGCTTAAAAAGTGCATACATATCAAAAATGTCAGCTTCCTCATTTTAATTTACAAAAACTGATACCCAAAGCTAGTTAGTTGCAAATCCATCTCTTCAGTCACCTATGCAATTGTATTAAGTAAATCTTGCATTTAAACCCCACTGCCATGAAAAACAACTGTGGCTTATCAGGGGAAAAATCTTCTTCTCTTTTAGCCTTACTACTACTAAGTGCTAACTGGGATAAATAATACATTGTAATACCTTAGTGAGGATTCAATTATATTATGCATATAAAAATACTAGAACATATTAGCTACCAGTTAATATTGGCTTTTATACACACCATCTTTTTATGCAGAGTGTTTTACATATTACAAGAAATACAGTTGAGAAATGAGTAGTTTGGTTAAAAATATTTGTATTTCTCAGAGTAATGTAAAACTTTCCTCTAAATTGAAATACACATCAGCACATTAAAGCCTTTGAGAAGTTCTGGAATAAAATAATCTGCATTTTTAATCTAATGCTACATAGAAAATTACTTCAAAAATTAGAATAAAAAAACAGTAAACATGTATGACCTCACATGCATGAGCTTGCCATCAGGATGCTGGCTAGGGTTTGCAGTTACCTGGAAGTTTGACAGAGATGAAGATCTGCTTTCAAGATGGCTTACTCACTTACCTGGCAAATTAGTGCAGATTACTGACGTAAGGATTCCGTTACTTTTCAGGTGTACCTCTCCACATTGCTGCTTAAGTGTCTTTATGAGATAGCAGGTGGAGTCCACAAAGTAAGTAATCTAAGGAAAGGAATCAAGGAGGAAGCTTCAATGCCTTTTATAACTTATTTTAGGAAGTTACACAGGCCACCTTTTCTATGAGTTATTTATTATAAATAAGTCACTAAGTCCAGTCCATTATTGATGAGAAGAGATTTCAGATCCATCTCTTAAAGGGAATAATAACAAAGGATAATAAACATATTGTTAAACCACCATGGAATATTTGTAACTTTATTTAATCCAGATTTTCCTGAAGTAATCTTACCATAGAAATCTATATTAAAGTAACATGTTTCTAAGGATTCCCTAAAAGTACCCATGACATAACCAAATTCTATATGGTTTTATTTGAATATATATATGAAGAAACTTTTTCAAGAGAAAAAGCTTGAGTCTTTCTAAAATATTCAAGCAGCTTGAGTGTTTCTAAAATATTCAAGCAGCTTGACGACTGTTTTCAAATACTCCCTTGAATTGTATTTATAGTTTTTGACTGTTTCTAATAATTCATAACTGTTGATCATGATCTAAATTGGCAATCCTAATTTTGGATTATACAATTGGACATAAAAATATATGTTTTGGAGAGACATTTTCTATCTGTAACTTGGCATATACTGCTGTATTTTAAAGTTTAAGTGGTGTTATTAAGGGTGCTGACTAGGATCACTATTCTGCAATGTGAAACTGTTATGAGCAGGAATGAAATACAGTTTTTAAAGCAGAGTGTTCTATTTTTTCAACAACCAACAGATTGGTAAAATGGAACATTTTGTAAAATACCCTCCACAATCTAAGGGCAAGGAACACCCAGAGGAGTGAAATCCTAAAGAGTTCCTTATGCTTAACTGTAATCTAGAAGTTTTTAAGCACTGCAGTAGTTTTCTTGAAGTTGCTACATACCTGCCTAGTTCTTTTTTTTGTTTTTTTTGAGACAGAGTCTTGCTCTGTTGCCCAGGCTGGAGTGCAGTGGCGCGATCTCTGCTCACTGCAAGCTCCACCTCCTGGGTTCACGCCATTCTCCTGCCCCAGCCTCCCAAGTAGCTGGGACAACAGGTGGCCGCCACCACGCCCGGCTAATTTTTTGTATTTTTAGTAGAGATGGGGTTTCACGATGTAAGCCAGGATGGTCTCGATCTCCTGACCTCGTTATCCACCCGCCTTGGCCTCCCAAAGTGCTGGGATTACAGGCGTGAGCCACTGTGCCGGGCCTATACCTGCCTAGTTCTTTAACGTAGCTGAGTATATAGGAACTCAAACAAATGTCCTAGTCATGGATAATGAATTTCCAGCTGCTGGAGTACCTCATATCTCTCTCTTTAAAATGTAAGTATTAGCCAAGTCGAAGAGTCATTTGGGATCTGAGACCATTTAGGAGATACATGATACCTGCTATAATCAGTAAAATGAGAAAGAAAAACTTCACTGGAAGAGAAAAACAAGATACATGTTACATGAACATAAGCATGCACAAACAGGATGTTCTCATAGGGACACGGATTAAATGAAAGAGTTCTATACTTTCTGTTTTGTAGAGAAAAAAGGACCTAAGAAAATCAAGTGTTGAAATTTAACTGTCATTAGATGGCAGTTGCTTTATCTACTGTTTTGTTTCTTACTGAAGGTTTTAGCTATTCTGTGCCCCATGCAGCCCCATCACCAAGAATTGTACCTCTGGTAAATGATAATTTTCCACAAGAGCAATTTTTATATCTAAAAGATAAGGGGAATATGAGAAGAATGGTTGTTGCTGTTAAAGTATGTCCTCAGGATTATAAACTGCATTATGCAGTCATGAACTTCTATATTAATGTCATTTAACCTTTGGCAATATTAGTCTAGAGAGGATCTTGTGAAGGATGGTACATTAACTTTTAGAAGTGATGGGCTGTGATAGTCCTGCTGTGATACTGAATGGCACTGGCTGAACTTCAGCACAGTCTTCCAAAGATGTAAGATATTTTCTCTCTATAGGGCAAAGCTTACGTACATGAGGGCAGATCTGTGAATTCATATATTTCAACCTGTCCTTGAGCAGTAAAACATAATGGTGCCATTTGAAAATAATTCTATAAAATAGCTCATTCTATTTGTTCTATAGAGAGATACTGGAAGGTCCATACATATATATATATATATATATATGTAAGTGTCTTTATGAGATAGTAGTTGGAGTCCACAAAGTAATTAATTTAAGGGAAGGAATCAAGGAGGAAGCTTCGATGCCTTTTATAACCTATATTAGGAAGTCACACAGGCCACCTTTTCTATGTGCTATTTGGGTCAATTATATATATAATATACATCACGCACACACTATATATATTTTTGAGCAAATATATATGTGTATATATGTGTGTGTTTATATATACACTAATATATATTCTCAAAAATTGTAGATGCTTTCAAACTATTTAGGAAAAAACTCTAAACAAATAGTTGAGACACAATGAGCTTAGGCATTAGTAGAAGTTTATACAAATTACTGAGAGAATAAGATAAGTAATTATCTGGCTGAGTTAAGGGATGAAGAAAAACATTCCTTCTAGGGAGATTAAGGGCCACATTCTTGGGTGGAAAAAGAAACAAGGCAATGAATATAGACCTGGAGTCAGATCAAAATCACGTCCTTGGACTTCTATGTTTTGAATGACTTTTGACCTATTACTTAACTTCCTGGTATTTCATGCACCTAAATTATACAGTACAGATATCTCACATTTCTAACAAATATTCTTTTTCTTCATTTTTATGTCCCAGTAGCATATAAAAATGAACATGTCAAAATTTAACCTATTGTATTTCCTGTGAATATGTGCCCTTCTCAATGCATTCCTGATAAGTTATTAATGTTTGTGCCCCACTGTCATCCTCCCCAGCTAGATCTCTAAGTTAAAAGCTAATCTCCACTTTCAGCTTTCAATATGTGGCTAGTCAGTTTTCCCAGCATCATTTATTATATAGGGAATCCTTTCCCCATTTCTTGTTTTTGTCAGGTTTGTCAAAGATCAGATGGTTGTAGATGTGTGGTGTTATTTCTGAGGCCTATGTTCTGTTCTATTGGTCTATATATCTGTTTTGGTACCAGTACCATGCTGTTTTGATTACTGTACCCTTGTAGCGTAGTTTGAAGTCAGGTAGTGTGATGCCTCCAGCTTTGTTCTTTTCGCTTAGGATTGTCTTGGCTATGTGGTCTCTTTTTTGGTTATATATAAAATGTAAAGTAGTTTTTTCCAATTCTGTGAAGACAGTCAATGGTAGCTTGATGGGGATGGCATTGAATCTATAAATTACCTTAGGCAGTATGGCCATTTTCATATTGATTCTTCCTATCCATGAGCATGGAATGTTTTTCCATTTGTTTGTATCCTCTTTTATTTCGTTGAGCAGTGGTTTGTAGTTCTCTTTGAAGAGGTCCTTCACATCCCTTGTAAGTTGGATTCCTAGGTATTTTATGCTCTTTGTAGCAATTGTGAATGGGAATTGACTCATGATTTGGCTCTGTCTGTTATTGGTGTATAGGAATGCTTGTGATTTTTGCACATTGATTTTGTGTCCTGAGACTTAGCTGAAGTTGCTTATCAGCTTAAGGAGATTTGGGGCTGAGATGATGGGGTTTTCTAAATATACAATCATGTCATCTGCAAACAGGGACAATTTGACTTCCTCTTTTCCTATTGCTTTCTCTTGACTGATTGTCCTGGAAGAACTTCCAACACTATGTTGAATTGGAGTGGTGAGAGAGGGCATCACTGTCTTGTGCCAGTTTTCAAAGGGAATGCTTCCAGTTTTTGCCCATTCAGTATGATATTGGCTGTGGGTTTGTCATAAATAGCTCTTATTATTTTGAGATATGTTCCATCAATACCTAGTTTATTGAGAGTTTTTAGCATGAAGGGCTGTTGAATTTTGTCAAAGGCCTTTTCTGCATCTATTGAGATAACCTTGTGGTTTTTGTCATTGGTTCTGTTTATGTGATGGATTATGTTTATTGATTTGCATATGTTGAACCAGCCTTGCATTCCAGTCAGAAGTCATACCCACATATTTATCAATTATCTTCTATGTGTGCTTGATTATCTCATCCAGTCCTTTTTTCTATACCAGATGATACTTATAAAGTATAAGTCAAATTCTATTTCTCTATTATTTAAAATATGCAAAGGTTTACTGTTACATTTACAAGAAAATCTAAACTCCTCACCTGGTATTTCAAGGATTAAAACATGAAGTCTCTACCAGTCTCTAACCTCATAACGCTTCCAACCTTTCATTACACTCCGGATATCCCACTCTTTCTACTATTTGACTAATATAAAGTTTATTCTGTTTCTGGGACTTTGCTGTTTCTATCTCCCTACTAGAGCATTCTTCACCTACATCTTTGCATCACTTCACCTTTATCATTTAGGTTTCAAGTCAGAAACCACTTTCTTATAGAAGTCTTCTCTGACCTTCCTATGGTAATAGCTTTATACTCACCACCTCCACCATCAATCTTTATTCAATCACCAACACTTCATTTTGTCATAACATTTATCCTTATCACTATCTGAAATCATTTTAATTTTAAGTGAATAGTTGTTCTTGGTTTCTCCCTGGAATATGAGTGCAATAAAGATAGAGAATATATTTTTACCATTCTATCTGTCATGGATAGGATAGTGGTATGTATTCAATTAATATTTTTTGAATTAATAATGAAAATCATTCATGTGTATATGTAGGAATAAAGCAGAGAAAATATACATATTTCTTTTTAGGAATAATATAAAATAATTGCACAGTAAGTTACAACATAAATGTTAAGTACAGAAGTATCCACAAAGAGTAATTGAAGTTGGTCAAGTAAAGATAACATAGATGGAATATATTCAATATCTTAAAGATATAATGGCTAGAATTTAGAAATCTGTTTATACAGAAAAGCTGAGTTTGCATATCAATGATTTTTTTGTCTTGGATGACTACATTGGTATTGTTACTAATAAATCTTATATAATTTCAAGAAGAATGACATTTTAAAGCTAAAGTTTGCAGATAAGATTATTTTAGAACTATTATATTCGAAGTGTTCACGAAGCATCCTGTGAGAGATAGACAATTTGAACTTGGCCATATTATTCCAGAGCTAAGAAAATATACTGGAGTGAGAAATATATTTGAGGCATTTGAAGTAGATGAGATTGTCCCAGAAAAACATTAAACATAAGAGTGAAGTTAACAATAGTCCTGGGAGAAGTAATAGGAACAAGAGAGTGAGTTTGAAAGATGAATCACACACTCCAAGAGGCAAGTATATATAGTGTTCAGAATGAGGAAGATACAGAAATGAGGATGGATTTTACCTGACTACAATGTCCACTCTGCGTATTCCTATGCTCCACTCTACAATTTCAAGTCTCACAAGAACAAAAGATTCTGAAATACAGGCAGGGCATGGAGGGCCACTTGTTTCCCTCTACCACCCCAAAGCCAGTCATTTTTCTTAATGCAATTACACAAACACTTGATCACTTTCAATGCACCCATTAGAGAGCTACAATTGTCCCTTGGTATTCTCGGGAATTTGTTACAGGGCTGCACAGATACCAGATCCATGGATGTTCAAGTTCCTTTTATAAAATAGTGAAGTATTTGCATATTTGCATCTTCCTGTGTACTTCAAATCATCTCTAGATTACTTATAATACCTAATACAATATAATGATATATAAAATTATTATAATTTATTTTTAATTTTTTATTGTTTATTTTTGTATTCCTATTTTTACTGTTTTATTCTGAATACTTTTGATCCACAGTTGGATGAATCCATGGTGTGGAACCTACAGATGGAGGGCTCACTGTATATACTGACACAATTGGACTTTGTGTCAGAATGTCTCCTCTGGTCCCAATGTTCTTTATGTATGATGGCTTGACTTTTACTATATCTAATCCAGGTGCTAATGAACTCAATGATAGTTCGAATCTAGGCCAGTGTTTGTCAGACTACATATTTACATACAGCCTCTCTTGAAGGAGTCACAATTTATAAAATGTTACAAATAAGTTTCACCCTGTTACTGTGCAATTTGGGACGGCAATGGCTAGAAATACACAATCATGGAAAATAATATTACTTGTTTTATTTTTAAGGCAGGTAATAAATGTAAAAGAGAATAGCAATTACTGACACCACAAAATGTACAGGCCACTCTAAGCCTCAAAGGCTCAAACAAATATTCAAAGTAAAGATAATCTTGAAAGAAAATATATTCTTATATTGCTGTGTGTTAAATGTAATGCTTATGAATGATTTTAGTCAAAAAGTAAAATAAAATTTAAAAATAAAGACAATAATAAGAAAAATATGATCCATTACCGTATCTAGCAATTCTGCTACAAACATTATTGTAAGGCATATAAATTCAAGATGAAAAAATAATAATTAAAACTCAAAAGTACCCTTAATAAAGAAAACAGTGATTTCATTTTAAATCAATTATTTGAAATGAAAACAAATCTGTATTACCTAAAGACAGTATCCATAGTCAAGTACAGGAGTGGGAGTCCCACTTGCTACCCTGGGCTGAAATATTTGACAGGTTAGCTAAATTAATGTTTAGTGGGTCACTGTGGTGAAAATTGATGTGTAAGTAACCTAACTTCTGAATAACTGCTTCTAGAGCTTGAAAGCAGTTGAAAACTTAAAGGGACTGACACAACCTTCACTATTTAGTGTTTGCAAAGTGCTCCCTAGAAATCAGGGCTCAGACCTCGGTTTCCTCTGTGGTATACAGAATGTCCTGTGGCTCCAATTCTGAGCCCTGGAGAGGATGAAGAACCAATGTTGAAGACATAAATGTTATTTAATTACAAGTCACAAAATCTGTTTTAATCGATGTTGTGGTTTGCTCCATTATGAATCAGTCACTGTGAATATAGGGGAGCTGTATCTGGAGATTAACTCTAAAGTGATTCTTCTTGGAAGCCGAAAGACCACATTTCTTTTCTTTTTTTAAAATTTCAAATTTATTTTGAACTCAAGGGGTACATGTGCAGGTTTGTTACATGGGTATGTTGTATGATGCTGTGGTTTGAAGTACAATTTGTTACAGTATTCCTTCGATGCTGCTTTGCCAGCTGGAAATCTTTGCAACTGCCATCTCCTCTGTCTGGGCCTTGCTCAGGCCCGCGGGGCTCACTCTACCCACTTGGTACAGAAGGCTGCGCTGGGTTTGCAACTGCTCAGATCTTACACCTGCCATGGCTCCATGCTCATCCCACAGCTGGCCTGGGGATGCCACAAGTGGCTTCCGTGTTGGGTGCCAGTGTCTAAATGAGAGGAACATGGTGGCACCTGCAAACTTGAAGATGCCAGCAATCTCAAGCTCCAAGGGGTGTTACAGTTCTTGCTCAGGCAGTTCCAATGTCTGCACCCCCAAGAAATGTTGGAACTCTTCATTCTCATAGCTCGTCAAGTGGGAGCATGTTATAGCTGTCTTTCTCCCATAGTCTGTCGAGCAGGAGCATGCAACAGCTCGTTGATTCCTGCCACCTGAAGCTCACCAGGCAGAAGGGAGGATCACAGCTCATTCATTTCCACTTCTCTCAGTTCAGCAAATGAGAGGGTTACAGCTCATTTGTTCCTGCTGCACGCAGTTCAGCAAGTTCTAGGTTCTTGTCCTGTGACGAAGAGGAATAAAGTATGTGGACACTAGAGAGTAAGGCAGAGAAGAATCTTATTGAGTAACAGAAGGAAAGCTCTAAGCAGAAAGGGGATCCTGAAAGCGGGTAGCCATCTATGAGGCTGAGTCTGGAATTTTATGGGCTTAGTATGGGGGAGTGTGTACTCATTGATCTATGGGTGTTCTTGGAAAAAGCACTATTTGATTGGTTCCACCATCCAGATGGAACCAATGAGTTGAAATGAGTTCATTTTGAGTGGATAAGACAGGATACAAGTTTTCACACCAGTGGTGGATTCCATTCAGAACTGGCAGTTTGGTTTTCAGGCTTCAGGCTGTCTTTGGCTTGAAGGTCAGGTTTCACCGGGGCTTGTCCCTGTCTGCCTAGGAATCTGTCTGTCTCCTGTCACTATCAACCCCTCATCTGAAGAGGTACATCTAACTGCCGTTAGGATAGGGACGGTGACTGATCTGTTTCATGATGACAGGGGGCATTGTCTTGGGAGAACAGCAGTCAGATCTCTCTCAGACGCCTATCTAAGGATCCCAAGTAAAAGGGAGTCATTGTCTGGGGCTCCATTACATGACCATTTGGAGTTTGATGACCTCTAGGTGAGAAGAAACACATTTTACAAGGAGGTTAACTATTTGTGGGCCAAATATGAGTATTATACAAAGAGGAGGTAAAAGCGGAAAATCCATACCAGTGCCAGAGATAGCAAAAATAAAAAGTAAAATAAACTATCATTCTGAAAACAATGTGGCCAAAGCTGTGTCACCTTGGTGAAAGAAATTCAATCTTGTATGGTGGAGGGGAGTTACATTTTAGAAGAGAAATAGCTGTTTAGGGGAGTAGATGATCCCACGGGTGTTCAGGATTATGGGGTCCTTGACCAAGACACCTTATGCTGAGGAACAGAATGAAGGTGAGAACAGCAAGCATAGGCAAGACTATAAAGGAGATAGCCATGGAAAGTTAATTATTGACATCTATCTTTTGTGATCTTTAACTTGAGGTCTCCAATTTCTTCACACTGGTGCTTCAAGTACTCTTTTGGGGCAACAGAGGTAATTCTATCAGTTTCCCAGGCCTTTATTTGAGTATAATGAATCCAAGAATCTATTCCAGTGACCTTCACTCCTGAAGGAGTAGAAAGAAATACAGTGTAATGTCCTTTCCAATTCAGGGCTAGAGAGAAAAAAAGAGAAGGAAAAGCCTTTACCAGTACTAAGTCCCTTGGGTTGAATAGATGTGGTTCTAGTTCACAGGGTTGGGCCTCTGACAGTTGTTTCAGTTCCTGTTGGAAATGGGCCAAAGAAGTTATATGATTAATCAAATCAGAGGTTTCTTGGTCTAGCAAGAAATTATTGGTGAGAAAAAGCTGTCCATATATAATTTTGAAGGGACTTAAACCCAGCTTCAAAGGGGTGCTTCTAACACTTGTAGGGCCCTGGGGAGAAAAGTAATCCAGGGGAGGTGAGTCTCTTGAGACAGTTTTTGGAGGTGCCTTTAGATAATATCATTTGTCTTCTCTACCTTTCCTGAAGATTGTGGTCTCCAAGCACAATGAAGATGGTATTGTATACCTAGGCCTTTGAGACCCCCTAGGTGACCGCTGCCCTAAACAAGAGGCTATTATTGCTCTGGAGGTACTTAGGGAGTCCAAAGTGAGGAATTATCTCATTAATTAGTACTTTTATCACTTCCAGAGGCTTTCTCTGTCTCACATGGAAATGCTTCTACCCAGTTAGTGAAGGTATCTATCTGTACCAGGAGGTACAGGATGCCTTTTATCTTCGGCCTATGGATAAAAACCATTTGCCAGTGTTCCCCTGGGTAGCCTTCCAGTCTTTGAGTTCTAGGCAGGAGATGCCATTGCTTGAAGGAATTATTTTTAAGGCAAGTTTCACAAGCATTAACAAACTGTTTGATCATTTTTAGCAGATTTTTACTTGAGAACAACCTTTGGGTCAATTGATAGGTTTTATCCTTATCTAGGCAAAAGGTTTGGTGAGGGATTTTAAAAACTTTCCATTGGCTGGAAGCTGGTAGATGAAGTTTGCCATCCTCCAATTGTAGCTATCCTGAGGACTGAAAGGTGCATCCCTGAGAGGTGTCCCATTCTATTTCTGCAGGATAATACTGAGGTTTTATTTCTCTTTTGGGTCACTCCCAGATCAGAGGGGCCTCAAGTGGATCAGAAATCTGGGGCCTCTCATTGATGATTTAGCTGTTTGGTCTGCCAATATTTTCACTTGGTTATTTTATTTGTTCCCTTTTGGTGACCTTTACAATGTATTACTGCCACTTCCTGTGGAAGGAAAACTGAGGTTACTAGTCTGTCAATTTGCTGATGGTGTTTAATGGGAGACCCATTAGCTATGAGGAAATTATACTTTTTTCCAGATAGCAGCATGGGCCTGGAGGACGAAGAAAGCATACTTAGAATCAGTATAAATGTTTACTGCTTTCCCTTTGCTTAATTCAAGCACCCTCATGAGGGCAATTAGCTCAGCTAGTTGAGCACTTGTGCCCGAGAAGAGAAGCACACTTCGAATAGTGTCATTCAGGGTGACTATTGCATACTCTGCTTTATGAATCCCTTGTTCTACAAAAGAACTTCGGTCCAACAAGAGACTCCTGTCTGTTCTCTAAGGGGGTTTGTTTGAGGTCCTCTTTGCCACAGAGAGTTGCACTATTATCTGTTTGCAGTCATGTTCAGGCCCTCCAACTTCCTCTGGGAGGAAGGAAGCTGGGTTTAGGGAAGGATAGGTTATTAATGGGACTGCAGATGCCTCCAATAGCAGACCTTGATATTTGAGGAGGGAGTTGTTTGTTAGCCAGAGACCTCCCTTAGAAGACAGCAGTCCTGTCATATTATGTGGGGTATAAATGGTTAAGTTATTCCCCATGTTTAACTTACTCGCCTCTAGCACCAGCAAAGCTACCACAGCAAATGCCCAGAAGCAGGGTGGCCATCTGTTAGCCACCTAATGAAGCTCCTTTATTAGGTAGCCTATGGGCTGGACATCAGGCCTTGTTAGAATGCCCAGGGCCATTCCTTTCCTTTCTGATACATCAATATTGAACATCTTCCCTTTGGGAAGACTAAAGCTGGCACCTTAAGCAAGGCTTGTTTCATTTGGTTAAAGGCCCTTTTAGCCTCTGGTTCCCAAATTAGAGAGTGAGTCTTAGCTGCCTGAGTTTACTTTATTTGTTGATAGAAGGGACGAGCTATCTCACCATACCCAGGTATCCATAATCTGCAGAATCCTGTAATGCCCAAGAATTCCCTCAGTTGCTAGAGGGTTTTGGGGAGGGTGAAGGAGGAGATGAGCTTAATCCTTTCTTTGCCTAGTTCTCTGGTCCCGTCTGACAAGATTAGAACTGAGTACTTCACTGAAGTCTTACAGAGGTCAGCCTTAGATTTTGAGACCTTATATCCTCTGTTAGCCAGAAAATTAAGAACAGCCTTACTGCTCTCCTGAGAGATATACTCAGTTGGGGCACAAAGGACAATATCATTTACATATTGTAAAACTTTAACCTGAAGATAAAGGAATTCAGAGAGATCTTTTGACAATACCTGCCCAAACAGGTGGGGGTGTCTTAGAATCCTTGAGGTAACACAATTCAGCTTAGCTTGATGGTTGGTTGAAGGGATCCTCAAATGCAAACAAATCCTGGGAGTTGAAGTGTAACAGTATGCAGAAAAAGGCATCCTTTAGGTCAAGGACTGTGAACCATTTAGTTCCCTCAGGTATTTCAGTTAGCATGGTATAGGAATTGCAAATCACTGGATGAACTGGACACAGCCTCATTAATGAGGCAGAGGCTCTGGACCAGTATCCATTCCCCACTGGGTTTCTCTACCCCCAGTGTCAGGATATTTCAAGGGCTATTGCAGGGTTTGAGGAGGCCCTGCATCCTCAAGCTATTGATGATGGCTTCTAGTCTTTTCTTAACTTCTGGTTTTAGGTGATATTGTCTCTAATTAGGGAAGAAGGTGGGATCCTTAAGGTGGATCTGGGCTGTATGGCAATTGTGGCTCAGCCAATTTCCCCTTGAGTTGCCCAAACTTATGGACTAATAAGTCATCCTGGAATCATAAGGATGGTGGTTCCCATACAAACTAAAATATCCCTGCTCAGCAGAGGAGTTGGGTTTTCAGGCATGATTAAAAAGGCATGAGTAAACAAGAGGTCTCCTCAAATACAACTAAGGGGCTGGGTAAAATATTTGGTTAAAAGCTTTCCTGAGACACCACTCACAGTTATGCTAAGGGAGAAGGAAAGGCCTGATTGTACAGGAGAACAGAAATAGTGGCTCTGATATTCAAGAGGAAGTCCATCTTCCACCCTTTGACCTCCAGAATCACCTGGGGCTCCTAGATGGCCATGGTCATGTAAGCCACTGGAGCTGGTGGGAGGAGCCCTGGGACCCATCATTCCTGCTGGACCATGGGGGAGATTGGCTCTGGACTCAGTGACCTACATCTCCATGGGGAGGTCACCTTCTAGTGGTCCCCTTCCTCATGTTGCCTGAGCAATCCTTCTTAAAGTGCCCTGACTTGCTATATTAGTAGCAACTAATAGGGGCACCTCAGAGATTCTGGGGTGTGTAGGCCTACAAGGTGGCCATTAGAGCCTCTGCCTTTTTCTTGCAACTCTTCTCTCTTTCTTGAGCACCACCCCCCAATCCCTACTGTAAAATACCAAGGTGGCCACTTTCAGGAGGTTCTTTAAAGTACTGTCTTGTTCCATGGCCTGTTTCTGCAGCTTCCTCCTGATAACAGGGGCCACCCAAGTAATACACTTATCCTTTAGGTGTTACATTTCTTTGTCATAGAGCCATGTGTACATGAGGTAATCTATTACTTGATACAGAAATTAACAAAACGTTTAGAGTCCCTACATCCAAATACTGTAGAGGTCATTTTTAGATAAATAAAGCAATATATGCAATTAATAAACATAGTGCCATGAACATAATAAGCATTTCATGAAGGTCTGTTTTGGAAATTAATTGCTAATAATGCTATTTTAGTTATTCCATTAAGTATGCATATAAAATAGAGTACATTTGTATTTTTTAAAGATATGGAAATTGAGTACAGACATGATTAGGTAAGATTATTTTAACCCTGTGATCATCCAGCTAGCATTGAATAGATGCAGGATTTAAACATCAGTGTACTTTTACAGTCCGTATTTTTTTTCCCTGTAAGTATTCTCGACGAATGACATTTTCCTCATTTACATTCTTAAAGTAGAAATGGATTTCCCACTAGAGACCATCCTATGTTTATACAAAGTAAACTTCTTATAACTTTTCTTTGTCATTTGTTTTTTCATGTTATAAAATAAATGTTTCAAACAAGAGGCAGAGAATATTTGTACTAGAGAGTGGCTTCCTTTTTTTTTTTCTCCCTTAAAGTTTAACCTGATTATAGGGTGCAATCATAGAGAGGTCCATTTAGTTTGCACTGAAAATAGTAAGGTGTCATCTCAAGAAATTTCACAGAGAGGTTAAAAACAGGATGGATATGAACAAGGAGTATCGTCTACCTAAAAAATTCTAAATCAGAACCTTTTATTTGGTGCTAGTAATTTAGCTTTGTAAATGCTGATATTGTGCTAGTGAATTTTCTCCACATTTTGGAGGATATATGGATCACCGTAACAAATAGGGAGAATGTTTTTCCAATAGGACCTTCTTTTTAACATGACAACATTCAAAGTCTGTCTAATGGACTTGAAATTTTGAAGTCCTTTGTATTGTATATTCTAGCTAATCAGTAGTATCTGAAAGATTCAGTGCAATTCTTTATAAATCTGACAATAAGTAAATGTCTCTGTTAGTGCTTCCCAAAGATGAGCCCATAATAGATTGTATTTTTAAATAATTAACATGATCAAATATATAATGCACATAGTTATTATTAATAATAATCAATTATTCTTCATATTATGCCACATATAAAAATTTATTAAGCATTTTATAAATATGGTCTCAATTTTACTACCTCTATGAGATAGCCATTATATTTCTTAGTTCATGCAGAAACTGAACTTTATTTTTAAATGTCTAACTTCATATTGACAGAACCTAATCAAGGACCATATTTGTTGACACAAGTACCTGAACTCTTAACCAGTTGTATATACTATTTATAAACATACTTGAGACAGTAGGTAGAAAAAGTAGATGAAAGAAGATGATGAAGGCAACTAATATCTTTTCAAAATGTAGTCACAGCTAAAGTCTTAGTTCTAACTCATTACATTGTTTATATAATTCCACTGAGAAAACCAGGGCAAATTTTGCAGCTTTCAAACATTCTTTTCCTTAGAACATTCATACACCAGCAAGTCTGCCAGACAGCTTTCATCTAGTTCCCTGATCTTTGGGATTTCTGAATCTATTGTGCAGAATTCTCTGTCTTTTTATTAGAAATATGGGAAATTGAAGATTTGTTTTTTTATCAAGTGAGATCAAAGGTATTGAGAAGCATGTCACATTATTATGTTTTCTTTATGAGATTTGAGTCATAGTCTCCATCACAAAACAAGAACTTTCCATTCTAAAGTAAGACATATAGGACTAAACAACATACAAATCCAAGACAAACCAAGAAAGCAAAGTTTTGCCTTTTTCTTCTATCCACTGTTGTCATATTGTAACCTTTGTCTTGGAAGAAAAGCACCAATATATAGTTTTCACTCCTGATGCTTACTCAAGATATAGCTGCGTGCCTTGGCTTTCCACAGAGCCAGTCTCACTCAGAAGGGATCAAAGTAAAACTGGCTACATGGCATGCTTCAATCAAGATCTGTTACAGGTTTCAATTAAGCAAAATCATCACATTTTATCTCATGTTTATGTATAAATACTAATGTCTAATTTTCCCAATCACCCAGTCTGGAAAACCACTTAAGAGATTTCTATCAGTCCTACCCACGACCTAAAATGCTCATCAATAGGAATACTGTCCTCAGCTTTTTTCCTTATGAGAACCTTAAAAACACTGCACTTAAATGAAACGTTAAGTCTAGAAAACTCACTTTCCTGAATGAATATAACTGCATATATTTTTGTAGTTTTATGTTTATATATTGCTGTCATATTATTTATCGCATTTACTTATCACACCAGACTCTGAGTCAGATAAGACATGGATCAGAATAATTTTATAGTTACTATTTATGTTTAAATAAGCTAATATACATAAGTTGTATATAAAATATTGACTTCAAGGTTCCATCTCTTTATGATTCTAGTGCATTTATCTGACTATTATCCAACTTTACCCTTCTAAAGGGTAAATTCTTGAGAGTGAATCTGTAATACTTACCTAACTTGAGGTATCAAAATGTATAAATTAAGCCTAAATTATACAGTATGCAAGGAGAATTTCATAACTTATTGCATAGTGTATACATACTAGTTCATAGTATGTACATGATTCAGGGTCAGATAAATAATTTTTATTGCTTTTTTTCAATTCGAAAAGAATGTTTATCTAATTTCAGAATGAGAGATGTCACTGGCTAATTTATGTGCTAATATGACCACAAATCATGCTTTATTTGTAAAAGTTAATCTATTTTATGCTCTATCCAAAATAAATCAATAATTATTTTGAAGCCTCATGGGCATAATAATTTTATATATTCTTTACCCAGTTTCTGGATCTTAATAGTTGCTTAATAAGCATTCATCTTCTTTCTTATGTATTATGAAAAGAGAATCACATTACTTTTTAAAAAAGTAGTACTCTGTGCTAAATAAATATAGTCTGAAACTTTATTAAAGAATATCAATATGCAGACACAGCAAGAGAGGCATAGATGGTCCAGTAGCAGCAACTGTGAATGTTGGTCATTTATTTAACTATTAAAACCAAAATGTAATATAATTTAAAAAGTAAGAGTTGACTTAAATTTTTGGGTTGATGGAATAGTAGTGGCAGAAAAATGAGAACATAGTATTCCATGGTGTATATGTGCCACATTTTCTTAATCCAGTCTATCATTGTTGGACATTTGGCTTGGTTCCAAGTCTTTGCTATTGTGAATAATGCCGCAAGAAACATACGTGTGCATGTGTCTTTATAGCAGCATGATTTATAGTCCTTTGGGTATATACCCAGTAATGGGATGGCTGGGTCAAATGGTATTTCTAGTTCTAGATCCCTGAGGAATCGCCACACTGACTTCCACAATGGTTGAACTAGTTTACAGTCCCACCAACAGTGTAAAGGTGTTCCTATTTCTCCACATCCTCTCCAGCATGCTAGATGACGAGTTAGTGGGTGCAGCACACCAGCATGGCACAGGTATACGTATGTAACTAACCTGCACAATGTGCACATGTACCCTAAAACTTAAAGTATAATAATAAAAAAAATAAATAAAAAAAAAGAAAAATGAGAACATTTTAAATTTCTATTTTAAAAAATTATTTAAATATATTAGAAAACCAATGAGGCAAAAAGGCAAGAGCTAAAACAACACAGAAGACAAAACTACAGAGAAGTGACTTATGATTAGCGGCTGCTTTTTCATTAGGGCCATTTGCAGATTACAGGAAAAGATAAGATGCTGAGAGATGTTTTGCAAAAAAAAAAAGTTGGGGAGACTGCTGCAGGATAGGAAACACTGCTGAGTGTCTAGGAGACAAAGTTTAGAGTTCAGGACCCATCAATAGGATGGGATGAGGTGAATAAAACAAGTTCTCACTTAAAAACAACTTTGGAGAGTCATGAACATCATAAAAGTTGAACCAGAAAAACAATAAAAGCATACAAGGAATACGGCTTTTAGCCAAGCTGAAATAATAAGGACAAGAGTTCCTCTTCTCTCTAAAACAATTATAAACATTTACAAACTTTATTTTTATATAAGAATACACGAAACAAACATTTTCAGATATTAGATGAACTTCAGCGAACCTGTGACCAATGACCCTGACACAGGGGAAACAAATGTGGTAAACCCCACTATTGCCATGGCTTAATTAAGAGAGTTTCCAGGACACAGTACAGGAAGGTAAAACCCAGGCAGAGCCTGGTCGAGTTGAGAAGATAGTGAGGATTTCAGGGAGCCCAAGTAAATGAAGAGAGAGAGAGATAAAGAGTGAGAGTCTGTGTGTGTATGTGTGTTTGTGTGTGCGTGTGTGTGTGTGAGAGAGAGAGAGAGAGAGAAAGCATGCTCTAGATAACTGCATAGGGTCTCCTTGAGTCTTCAGTTGAGTACTAATCAGTACATATGTGAGAGGAAACTACACAACATCATCAAAAGAAAAATAAAGACCTATCCCTGGAACTCTATGGGTTTAAGAATAATTTGTATTTCCACTATATAGAGTAAACACACACACACACACACACACACACACACACACACACACACACATAGAATTCACAGCCCATTGGGTAGAATATTAGAAAGTTAATGCTTCAGTAGCAAAACGAAATTTGATTAGACTCAAGGCTGTTCTAGAAATGCTAAACTACATTTCCTAGAACTCCCTCTCTAGTATGTTTCCTATTAGGGTAGGCTCTAAGGCTATTTATCTCCTGAGAGCTACAGGGCTAAAGGAAGGGGGCAGCCATTCTTAGCAAACACACATGTTACTGCTGATCTGCTACTCCTTGCCCAGAGTAGCAGGTGGAACTACAGTGGTCCCTCAGGACCTTTACTGAGTTTCTCTGATTCCTGGGCCAGGGCTGTATGTGTTCAGCTACATACATGGCATTGATCAACGTAGCATACCTTTCTTCACTAGGTCAGAGACAAAGAAGGACATGGACGTCAGTCACTTCTTGTGAGGTTCCAGGTCATGGGATTCCAGGCTGCTCTTAAGCTTTGCATATAACTAACTGTCTCGTGAACCCTGGGCTTAAGGCTTGAGGACACTGCTTAGCTAACCTCATAATTGAGTGAGTCAATTCCTTCCATTACTGGTGTGTGTGTGTGTGTGTGTGTGTGTGTGTGTGTAACTCTTCTAGAATGATTCTATTGGTTGCTGCTTCGCAGGTCTAAACCTGACTTATACTTAAAAAATAAAATGTTTACCAAGTAATTTAATTGCATCAGTGAATAAAGATCAAGCATATGTATAAGAATAAAAAAAGATCTAGCACCCATCAATACCAAATTCACATTTTTTGTCATTCAATAAAAAAATTGCCAGATATGCAAAAACACAGAAAAAGTCTATTGAAACCTATCAAGAAATAAAATAATGGATAGTGATCCTGTTTATAAAAGACACATGAAATAAAAAACAATATAGAGATGAACAGATTAGTAGTTGCCAAAGCTTAGGGTTTGAAGAGCAAGGAAGGGAGTGAGGCTATAAATAAACGTTTTGTGTCTTGATTCTGGTGGTGCTTACATGAAGCTACAAGTGTGCTAAAATTGAGCATGATTCTATAGATACACACAGAAACACAAAAAATGAATGCATGTATAACCAATGAAATCTGAGTAAACTATGTGGTTGTCAATTTCCTGATTTTGCTATTGGAGTATCAATATCAAAGTTACACAATTTATCAACATTTGGAAAGGCAGGACGAAGGGTGCATAAAACTTCTCTGGACATTTTAAAAATATTCCCTGCAAACCTATAATTATTTCAAAACAAAAACTTTTAAAAATGAAATGCAGACAGAAATAAGTAAACTACTGGTGTCCTAAATATACTCATAATTGGAGGCTCTAATGAAAGGTAGGAGTGGTGGTTGAAAAACTAACACTGAAAACTTTCCAAAATATATAAAAAGTAGAAATCATGACTCAAAGAAGCTCAACAAATTCTCAGAAAAAAAATATATACAGACATTATAAGAATTGTTAAAAGCACTCCTTCGGGCATAAGGAAAATAATAAAAGTTGGAAATCTATAAATCTGTGTCTACATATAGGAAAGAAACAAGAAGCACAACAGAAATAGTAAATATGAAGGTAGTTATAGAAGACTTGTTTCTTATTCTGTAAATATCTACAAAAGACAATTGTCAGTGTAAGCAAAAGTAATAAGTGAAATAAAATATGTAAAAATTTGAGGTTGGGTTTTTTGAGAGTGAATCGTAACAAGTGCTTTCCTGCATTGAAAGCTTTCTCTTATCCTGCAGATGTAGGATAATTTGCCCTTTATAGTGATAACTTAATTTCTGTACAAAACCAGCTTCTTCTTTTTCTGCTTCTGTCATTCTTTTTTTTTCTCATTCTCTTTGAAAATCTTGTAGAATAATTGATCATAAAAGAACATATATTGTGTGATTATGGGTACACTTTTAAATATCTAATTGAAATAAAAGCTACAAATTTCCAAAAGAAAAATTTTATAAATTTAAACTGGGTTTATTTTATATTAAATATCTTGATTCCTTAGAAACTTTTTATTTTCTAAACAAAAATGTAATTCAGAAAAAAATTCTAAATGTAGATTTTAGTAATATACATAATTGCCAAATAATAAAAGCAAGACACTTAGACTTTTTGTCATAACTTTGAGATTTTTAAGTGTTTGATATAAACATTTGATTCTTAAACATTTGATATATTAACACAGGTATATAAATATTATTGATCAAGAGATTTTTTGAAATATCCCTGATAAACTGATAATTCAGTGGACAAACTAGGTAATTTAATGTTAGTTAATCCCTGATTTTGCAACTTTGAAAAATAACATTTGTATAATATATTTATTAATACTAGAGCTAGATTTGATTTATCAGTTTAAAAAATATAATTTTTGGACATTAGTTGTATGGATCAAGTAAGTTATTATTGTTGCCACAAATTGTACATTTGTTTAATAATTGATGTCCTTTAAAAATTGATTAATCTTTTTTGTTGATACATTTTTATATTGCTAAAAAATCATATAGCCTTAAATGTTAACTTAAATTGTATTTTCAGATTTTTAGTCAACTTTCAGAATTTACACTAATATTAAATTGAGTTAATTGGTAAATAACATTTACATGCCTGGATAATATATAAGTAAGAAAAATATCTGTCACTAAACATGATTATGAATTTAGTTGCTTCTTATTTTTATACATTATGGGATAACTACAGATTTATAGATTATTAAAATGTTTTACATGATGTATAAACGCTTATCATCTTAAAATTTGTTAAAGTTATAGAAAATGTTTGCACATAAAATATAGCTAAAAAGTTATAGTTTTCTTAGTTTATAGTTTTCTTTTTTTCCTGGAACAAGATAAAATTTGTTTACTTTGATTAAACGTGATAGTAAGTAGAAATGTTTGAGACTAGATACAATAGTGACATAAAAATATAAACATAGATACATCAAAAATATGGTTTCTCTGCTTGTTTTTTGATGGCATTACTGAGTAATATAACAGAATTTTACAAATTTAATATATGTTAAATCATGTTTTTTTAAGTATATCTTAAAGCTAAAAGCAAATATTTAACTTTATCACATATTTGTATATTTATGTATTAGTGAATATCTAAATACAAAAAATGGTATAGTAGATTAATGTAAAACATTTATTGATCATAATAAACTTAAAAAAGTATTTCAATAAATTGATCTCTATTTGGCTAGATGTATAATACTTTGAATAATGAATTTGAAATAAACTATAAACAGTGCTAAAATATTATTAAGTGAGCTCAATGTATTAGTCTGTTTTCATGCTGCTGATAAAGACATACCCAAGACTGGGAAGAAAAAGAGGTTTAATTGGACTTAACAGTTCCCTATGGCTAGGGAGGCCACAGAATCATGGCAAGAGGTGAAAAGCACTTCTTACATGGTAGTGGCAAGAGAAAATGAGGAAGAAGCAAAAGCAGAAACCCCTGATAAACCCATCAGATCTCATGAGACTTATTCACTATCATGAGAATAGCATGGGAAAGACTGGCCCTCATGATTCAATTACCTCCCCCTGGGTCCCTCCCACAACATGTGGAAATTCTGAGAGATACAATTCAAGCTGAGATTTCAGTGAGGACACAGCCAAACCATATCATTCCACCCCAGCCCCTCCAAATCTCATGCCTCACATTTCAAAACCAATCATGCCTTCCCAACAGCCCCTAAAGTCTTAACTCATTTCAGAATTAACCCAGAAGTCCACAGTCCAAAGTCTTATCTGAGACAAGGCAAGTCGTTTACGCCTCTGAGCCTATAAAATCAAAAGCAAGCTAGTGACTTCCTAGATACAATGGGGGTACAGGTATTGGGCAAATACAGCTCTTCCAAATGGGAGAAATAGGCCAAAACACAAAGGTTACAGGGCCCATGCAAGTCTGAAATCCAGTGGGGCAGTCAAACTTTAAAGCTCCAAAATAATCTCCTTTGACTCCATGTCTCACATCCAGGATATGCTGATGCAAGAGGTGGTTTCCCATGGTCTTGGGCAGCTCTGCTGTTGCAGCTTTGCAGTGTACAGCCTCCCTCCTGGCTGCTTTCATGGGCTGACATTGAGTGTCTGCAGCTTTTCCAGGCACATGGTGCAAGCTGTCAGTGGGTCTACCATTCTGGGGTCTGAAGGACCATGGGCCTCTTCTCATAGTTCCACTAGGTGGTTCCCCAGTAGGGACTCTGTGTGAGGGCTCCGACCCCACATTTCCCTTACTCACTGCCTTAGCAGAGGTTCTCCATGACGGCCCCATCACTGCAGCAAACTTTTGTCTGGGCATCCAGGTATTTTCATACGTCTTTTGAAATCTAGGTGGAGGTTCCCAAACTTCAATTCTTGACTTCTGTATACCCCCATGCTCAACACCTCGTGGAAGGTGCCATGGTATGGGGCTCCCAGTCTCTGAAGCCACAGCCAGAGCTGTATGTTGGCCCCTTTTGGGCATGGCTGGAGTGGCTAGGACACAGGGCATGAAGTCCCTAGGCTGCACACAGCATGGAAATCCTAGGCCCAGCCACAAAACCACTTATTCTTCCTGGGCCTCAGGACCTGTGATGGGAGGGGCTGCCAGGAAGTTCTCTGACATGGCCTGGAAACATTTTCCCCTTGGTCATGGGGATTAACATTAGGCTCCTTGCTACTTATACAAATTTGTTCAGGGGGCTTGAATTTCTCCCCAAAAAATGAGTTTTTCTTTTCTACTGCATTGTAAGGCTTCAAATTTTCTGAACTTTTATGCTCTGTTTCCCTTTTAAAACAGAACGCTTTTAACAGCACCAGTCACCTTTTGAATGCTTGCTGCTTAGAAATTTCTTCTGCTGGACACCCTGAATCACCTCTCTCAAGTTCAAAATTCCACAAATTTCTAGGGCAGGGGCAAAATTCTGCCAGTCTCTATGGTAAAACATAACAAGAGTCACCTTTGCTCCAGTTCCCAACAAGTTCCTTATCTCCATCTGAGACCACCTCAGCCTGGATTTTACTGTCAGCATTTTGGTCAAAGCCATTCAATAAGTCTCTAAGAAGTTCCAAACTTTCCTACATTTTCCTGTCTTCTTCTGAGCCCTCCAAACTGTTCCAACCTCTGCCCACTACCCAGTTCCAAAGCAGTTTCCACATATTCAGGTATATTTTCAGCAATGACCTGCTCAACTGGTGCCATTTACTGTACTAGTCCATTTTCATGTTGCTGGTAAAGACATACCTGAGACCAGGAAGAAACAGAGGTTTAATTGGACTTATAGTTCCACATGGCTGGAGAGGCCTCAGAATCATGATGGGAGGCAAAAAGTACTTCATACATGGTGGTGGCAAGAGAAACTGAGGAAGAAGCGAAAGTGGAAACCCCTGATAAACTCATCAGATCTCATGAGACCTATTCACCATCATGAGAATAGCACAGGAGAGACCAGCCCCCATGATTCAATTACCTCCCCCTGGGTCCCTCTCACAACACATGGGAATGCTGGGAGATACAATTCAAGTTGATATTTCGGAGGGGAAACAGCCAACCCATATCACTCAATATTAATGGATCTATTATGTAAATAAAAGAATGTATAAATATCCTACTATAAATTGTAATAATGGGCAGTGTCAAAATTGAATAATTATTCAACCATTTACCTGCCTTTCTGCATTTAAATCAGTAAATCATCATTCACTAAAAACATTGTGTAGCTATTTCTTGTTTTTATATCAATATTTGGTGTTCTCCAAAAGAAAGTGAACATAAATAATTCTTACTGGAAACTAAAAGTCATAGAAAACAACAAAGCAGGCATAAGGATCATGACTATAAATAAAATGATTAAGGCCCATCAACTGAGGAAATTTACTGTCATTTTTGTGAAATAAAAACTATGTCAGTAGAAATAACAGAAATTATATCATTTGTGGAATTTCATAAACAATTTATTAATTTTGTGATATCCAGCTTCAAAATTTAGAAAATCCTATTACAAAAAATTCTCTATTTTTTTTTAAATTGCATATTAAGTATACTTTAATTTTTTAAGGAGATAATACTGATAAAGAACATACACACAAAGTGAAGGGTCCATACTAACTGCAGCTTATTTTAAGCACTCAATAAAATGTAACTGTAATAATAATACTTTTATTGTTGCTAATACTATTCATCCTTGAAAACTTTTCAAATTTTATTCTTATAGGATCTGCACAATTTTATCAATTTATTCTTGGACATTTAATATCTTTTCTACTGGAAAGGGTCTATATTAGCATTTTCTTTTCTAAATGGTTATTATTTAGCTCAAAAAATACACATTTATTTTTGTATATTATCTTAACAATTCAAATAGTTTTCTTTATTGTTTTTGTTGTGTTTAGCAGTATAGAATTATTTCACTTAGAATATAAATATATAATTAATTTGCCTTTTTATTTATATGTACCCCTTTTTTCCTTAAAAGCTAAATAGTAATCATAGCAAGTATTCCTTCTCATGATTAATTTTAACAGTAATGACAAGTAGCATTTACTGAATACTGACAAACGTGATCTGAATGTTTCCCTCGGCTTGACTAAGCTACAGACATATTTCTTCCTGACAATAGGCTCCTTCCCTCCCTTAGAGAATTTACTTTAGTGAAGTTTCCATTGTAAATTATTTCTCTGCCCCACTGACATGTAAATCTTCTCTCAGTCTCTTGCCAGTTTTCTACCCAGAGAATTTTTTTCTCAAGAACCTGAAAGCCAGTCCTTTGAAATATGATGAAAAAAAAAAATGTTATTCTTATCTCTCAATTTTTGTGAAAGGGTAGGAGCCTAACTTCCAAAAGCACCAAATGGCAAACACAGATGACCTAATTACACTGACCAGCCTTCCTTCTAATGTCTACCAATATTTTGCTACTAGCTCTTTCTAGCTCTGAACTCCTCCAACCTTTTGTTTCAGTGGAGTTGAGTTCAATCTCTCTCCCTCATTGCAATATTCTTGACAAAAGTCTTCCTTGACTGTTTAACTCTGTCTAGTGCAATTTTTCTTTGAGAATACTTAACTTTCTCTTTCATACATTGTGTATGGGAAACACTGTTTTGTTTTCAACCCTCCAGTTCTGATAGATACCACAAAAGAATTTTGATCTCTTCAGCTGAGTGTCTGCCCTCCCTCAGCCAAGCATATTAGTAAAATACTAGAAAAATATTTGTGTGGAATTTTTCAAAGTTGTATAATCTCTATGTAATCACAATAAAAGTCAATAAAATAAATGATAAATATAACAAGGTGTAAGGTGTGCTTTTGCTAAGGGATGATTGATCTGTAGTACAACACATTATGTGACTGAAAATATTCAAGAATTCTGGGCCAAATTGTGTTTAATAGATTATCAACAATAATATTGAAACTGCCATACATAAATCCCTGGGTAAGGATTAAATATTCTGAGCCATATGTTAATGAAAGTAGATTATGGCCCAATGATTATTTTGTGCTAATCATTGTTTTAATTACTTTCCATGAATTAAATCCATGTGTGTTCTCACTTTAGAAATGAGAAAGGGAAGCAAATGAGAAATTAATATCAGTCCAAACAGGCAATAGTATTCACCTCACACTGTTAGATAGTGAAGGTGGAGGTGATGTATATCAGTAATGTGAAATTAGAACCAATAGAACTTAATATAAAAATTGTCATTCACAAGAGTGACAAAATTTCAAATAAATCTCAAATTTCTTACTTTTCTGGGGGAGGAGGGATAAGAGAAAATGAAGAAACATTAAAAGAAATAAATAACAAGAAAAAAGAGATTTAGAAATTAAAATACAATTTTAATTTCTTCAAGTCTATGTGTCTTCAACTTTGGGTCAAATTTTAGGACCTGAAACTGAGAATAGATACCAGTATTTGAAACGTAATTTTGGATGTTGTCTGTATAAACAACATGCACTCTTTTAACCACTAGAGAGAACAATTTTAAATTATGTTAAAGTTGATATCAAGGGGAAAGGAAGATTTAAAACTACTGCTTAAATTTCCATTTTTTCAACATTCTCAGGAATCACTTTGTGCAAAGTTAGCAACAGCTGACAATACAGCAAATATCACCTTTTAAAAATTCTACCTAGTTAAAATATTCTCAAAAATCAATATAGAAACGGAGAATAATGCTTGAATAAATTTAAAAAATAATTTAGTAGGCTTGTCTTGAAAGAAAGTTTTGATGAATATATGACATTGGCATAGGAGTACCTTTTAATGTAATCTTTATTGCAGAATACCTAACAATTTATCATATGATGTGTATATTTGTTAACATCACATCTGGCCTGCTGTGGTTTCCTCTGAGAACATATGCAATATAAACAGTCACAACAGACACAATAATGTAAGACAGAAAATAATTAACAGCTCTAAGCATATGGGATTACAAAAAGTTGGGTAAGAGGTAAAAGACTATAAAAGCCATAACATATGTTGTTTGGTCTTTCAAGTTAATCTTTATGCTGAATCATTCTGTAGGAAAGTTATTTTCTTCAAGATCAATGGCGGGTCCACTGAAACCATAATATACAAAAATAATTTGAAAAATGACATTGTTTATGCTTACCAATACAACCAGTAAGTATTTGTCAATGGCTCATTATGTGTGGAGAACTACTCAAGAATCTGAATTCTTAACATTGAACAAATTGGACTTGGTATCAACTCTCCAGGTGATTACTTTGGGAAAGTAAATAAATTCAATAATCACATAAAAATAAATACAATTATTAGAAATTGTCCTTTAAAGGAAACAAAATTGCATGAACGTAAAGTGTCTTCCATCTTTTAGGATGATATTTATTTTTTAATTTTTATTTTTGAAATCAAGAGCAGTTTTTACAATGCTGTTCTGGACAAACTTTATTCCAAGGCTTGGTACACCCATAGAACCAAGGAAGCAAACCATCATCATGATCACGCTTTTGAGAAACAGAGTTGGAGGGGAAACAGATACAACTAGATATGACTAAGTACCTTGGAAAAGGAATTCACACTTTTATCGGCTGCAGTATGACTGGTATGTCATTTCAAATATCTTCTTTCTGCTCTATTTATTTAATTTTGAATTTTGGGACAACGTAATCTGTGAAAAGTCAAGAGAGAAAATAGACTTCTATCAGATTGTTTGCTTTTTCCCATTTCTAAAATTAGGTCATTTGCTACTGGAGACTTTTCATTTGCAATCACTTTTTATTTTCTTTCCAATTTGTATTTTAGTTTCAAGAAGTACATGTAGAAGTTCGTTACATGCGTATATTGTGTGTTGCAGGAGTTTGGTGTACAGGCAATTTTTTCACCCAGGTAATCAGCATGAGACTTGATAGGTCATTTTTCAATTTTCATCCTCCTACCACCCTTCACCCTCAAGTAGGCCCCAGTGACTATTGTTCCTTTCTTGGTGTCCATGTGTACTCCACATTTAGCTCCCACTTATAAGTGAAACCTGGTAGTATTTGGTTTTCTATTCCTGTGTTAATTTGCTTAGGGCAGTGACCTTCCGTCCTATCCATGTTGCTACAAAGGACATAATCTCATATTTTTTATGGCAACATAGCATCCTGTGGTGTACGTGTACCACATTTTCTTTATAGGATAATCAACAAATCAGTTTAAAATATGAAAGGAAGAATTTGAGAGAGAACAACATGTATAAAGGCCATCAGGTGTTAATACTTTGCCATATTTGAAGATCTTATGGTAGGCTGCAGGAAGGAAAATAGCTTAGAGCTGAATGAGTGAGAGGATAAAAAGAGAGACAGAGACAGAGACAAAAACAAAGGACTAGAAAACAGGAGCAAAATCATTAAGGACCATGGTAACAAGTTTGAATTTTGTGTTAAGCACAACTGAAATTCATTGCCATCAGCTTTCCTGGGTCTTCACTTTGCTTTGTCTCTCTCTCTCTCTCTCCATGCACACACATGCAAACACACACACATTCTATTAGTTCTGTTTTTTTGTTCGTTTGTCTTTTGAGAACTCTAATATAGATTTTGGTATTAGGAGTTGTAGATAAATAGGTTTTTAACAATTAGTTTTCTGAATCGCTTCTAGGGTTTTGGTATTGCTTTTCTAATATGATTAGATTTAAAGATGTGACATGACTCCATTTACAGTAGTAAAGGGAACACAGATAGTCCATGATCTGTTATGGCTAAAGAAATACACAAAGATATTAATGGATACTCCTAATTGAGAGGTGACAGCGTGCTGGCAGCCCTCACAGCCCTCACAGCCCTCGCTCGCTCTCGGTGCCTCCTCGGCCTCAGCGCCCACTCTGGCCGTGCTTGAGGAGCTCTTCGGCCTTCCGCTGCACTGTGGGAGCCCCTCCTTGGGCTGGCTGAGGCCAGAGCCGGCTCCCTCAGCTTGCAGGGAGGTGTGGAGGCAGAGGCACGGGTGGGGACTGGGGCTGCGCCTGGCGCTTGTGGGCCAGCGCCCGGTCCGGGTGGGTGTGCCCTTGGCAGACCCTGCACTCAGAGCGGCCGGCTGGTGCCGCATGCCCCAGGTAGTGAGGGGCTTAGCACCTGGGCCAACAGCTGTGGAGGGTGCGGGGTCCCCCAGCAGTGCCGGCCTGCTGGGGCTGCACTCGAATTCTTGGCGGGCCTCAGCTGCCTCCCAGTGAGGCAGGGCTGGGGACCCACAGCCCGCTATGCCTGAGCCTGCCTGCCTGCTGTGGGCTCCTGCACAGCCTGAGCCTCCCCGACAAGTGCCGCCCCCTGCTCCATGGTGCCCAGTCCCATCGATGGCCCAAGGGCTGAGGAGTGTGGGCCCACCACCCAGGACTGGCACACAGCTCCACCTGCACCCCAGTGTGGGATCCACTAGGTGAAGCCAGCTGGGCTCCTGAGTCTAGTGGGGACTTGGAGAACCTTTATGTCTAGCTAAGGGATTGTAAATACATCAATCAGCACTCTGTGTCTGGCTCAAAGTTTGTAAACACATCAATCAGCACCCTGTGTCTAGCTCAAGGTTTGTAAATGCACCAATCAGTGCTCTGTGTCTAGCTAATCTAGTGGGAACTTGGAGAACATTTATGTCTAGCTGAGAGATTGTAAATGCACGAATCAGCACTCTGTGTCTAGCTCAAGGTTTGTAAATACACCAATCAGCACCCTGTGTCTAGCTCAAAGTTTGTAAATGCACCAATCAGTGCTCTGTGTCTAGCTAATCTAGTGGGGACTTGAAGAACTTTTGTGTCTAGCTTAGGGATTGTAAATGCACCAATCAGCACCCAGTCAAAACAGACCAATCAGCGCTCTGTAAAACAGACCAATCAGCTCTCTGTAAAATGGACCAATCAGCAGGATGTGGGTGGGGCCAGATAAAGGAGTAAAAGCAGGCTGCCCCAGCCAGCACTGGCAACCTTCTCGGGTCCGGTTCCATGCTGTGGAAGGTTTATTCCTTCACTTTTTGCAATAAATCTTGCTGCTGCTCACTCTTTGGGTTCACGCTGCCTTTATGAGCTGTAACACACACTGCGAAGGTCTGCAGCTTCTCTCCTGAGGCCAGCGAGACCACGAACCCACTGGGAGGAATGAACAACTGCAGACACACTGCCTTAAGAGCTGTAACACTCAACGCGAAGGTCTGCAGCTTCACTCCTGTAGCCAGAAAGACCATGAACCCACCAGAAGGAAGAAACTCTGAACACATCCGAACATCAGAAGGAACAAACTCCGGACATGTCGCCTTTAAGAACTGTAACAGTCACTGCGAGCGTCCGCGGCCTCATTCTTGAAGTCAGTGAGACCAAGAACCCACCAATTCCAGACACATAATCACCTGCTTGTAAGAGGCAAGGATCTTTGAAACATTTAAACATCTTTCAACAAATATGACGACAGTGGCTGTTTGTTCCTAATGTTGTTGGACCAAGTGAGTAAAGGATGCATTCAGGGATTTGAATTCCTAGCTCAACCATCACATTAATTATCTAAGATTTTATAAATGCCTTGAGGGAGTTTATTTCTTGTAGTTATGCAACTTAGATTAAAAAAAGAAAAAGAAAAAAAACCCCAAAAGCTCATCCTCTGACTAGCTGAATTAAATTGCAAGTTGAACTCTGGATAGGAAGAATCAATTCATAAAAATGGCCATACTTCAGGAGAATGGCATGAACCTGGGAGGCGGAGCTTGTAGTGAGCTGAGATGGCACCACTGCAGTCCAGCCTGGGCGACAGAGTGAGACTCCATCTCAAAAAAAACAAACAAAAAAAGCCATACTTTCCAAAGCAATTTATAGATTCAATGCTGTACCTATTTACCATTCAGATTCTTCACAGAAGTATAAAACATTTTTTTAAAATTCACATGGAACCAAAAAAGAACCCAAATAGCTAAGGCAATCCTAAGCAAAAAGAACAAAGCTGAATGTATCACCATCTGACTTCAAACTATACTGTTGCAGGAATCACAGGACAGGAGAGACCAATTTGTGGGACAGGAGGATTTTATTAGGTGGCCACCAACTCAGAAGATGAACATCCAAAGGCTGAGCTCCAAACAAAGACAGGGCTTGACTTTTATGCATGCAACTGGAGGGTGTTGGCCAGCTAGTGACACAAAACTTACAGGGTGGGCAAGCAAGCTTACAGAAGCAGAACAATGACAGTTTATTAAACAGTGACAGATGTTGCAACTCAGGCATGTCTTGTGACCTTCGCCATACTACAGACAGGAAAACAGGAACTTAGAAAATCCTTACAAACTTGTAGAAACAGTTGTAAAAATAGTTACGAGAGTAGAACAAAGAATAATGATACGGGGAAAGAATGCAAAAAGAGGGAAACTGATAAGAAGAAATTGTTTTTCTCATCGTTGCTCCTGGAGCCCATTCCCTCTGGGTCCTGCCTGGCTTTGCAGATAATGTTATCATAGTCCTAGCAGGACCTTGGAGTGAGTCAGCATAGGGAAGGACTTGTTTTCCCTTTACTTGTTTTTCTTTTTATATTTTCTGCTTCAATACTGCAGAGCTACAGTAACCAAAACAGCATGGTGCTGGTACAAAAACAGATACATACACCAATGGAACAGAATAGAGAACTCAGAACTAAGGCCACACGCCTACAACTATCTGATCTTCAACAAACCTGACAAAAACAAGCAATGGGGAAAGACTTCCCTCTTCAATAAATGGTGCTGAGATAACTGGAAAGCCATATACAGAAAATTAAAACTGGACCCATTCCTTACACCATATACAAAAATTAACTGAAGATGGATTAAATACTTAAATGTAAAGCCCAAAACTATAAAAACCCTGGAAAACAACCTAGGCAATACCATTCAGGACATAGGCACGGGCAAAGGTTTCATGATGAAGATGCCAAAAGTAATTGCAACGAAAGCAAAAATTGACAAATGGGATGTAATTAAACTTAAGAGCTACTGCACAGCAAAGGAAATCATCAACAGATTGAGCAGACAACCTACAGAATGAGAGAAAATTTTTGCAAACTATGCATCTGACAAAGGCTTAATATGCAGCATGTATGACGAACTTAAACAAATCTACAAGCAAAGAACAACCCCATTAAAAAGTAAGCAAAGGACATTAACAGACATTTTTCAAAAGAAGACATACACATGGCCAACAATCACATGAAGAAAAGCTCAACATCATTGTTTATTAGAGAAATGCAAATCAAAACCATAATGGGATACCATTTCACACCAGTCAGAATAGCTGTTACTAAAAAGCCAAAAAATAGCAGATGCTGGTGAGGTTGTGGAAAAAGAGAAATACTTATATAGAATTAGTGGGACTGTGAAATTAGTTCAACCATTGTGGAAGACCATGTGGTGATTCCTCAAAGACCTAAAAACAGAACTAGCCATTACTGGGTATATACTCCCCAAACTATAAATCATTCTATTATAAAGACACATGCATATGTTCATTGCAGCACTATTCACAATAGAAAACACATGGAATCAACCTAAATGCCCATCAATGATAGACTAAATAAAGAAAATATGGTACATATGCATCATGGAATACTGTGTAGCCATAAAAAGAAATGAGATCATGTTCATTACAAGGACATGGATAGATCTGGAGGCCGTTATCCTCATCAAACTAATGCAGGAACAAAAAACCAAATACTGCACATTCTCACTCATAAGTGGGAGCAGAATGATGAACAGTGGACACATCGAGGGGAATGACACACACTGGTGTCTGTTGGAGAATGGAGAGTGGGAGGAAGGAGAGGATCAGGAAAAATAACTAATGGTATTAAGCTTAATTCCCGAGTGACAAAATAATCTGTACAACAACCCCCATGACACAAGTTTACCTACATAACAAACCTGTACAGGCACATACATACCTGAACTTAAAAGTTAAACACACACATACACACAAAGAACTCTCAGTTTTATACTGTGTCTGTTGTTAAAGTGTGAACATTGATTGGGAAGGAATGGGGTCCTGAAACTTGGTGTGGGAATGTGTGAGAAGACCCTGATAAAGCTGGGAATATTGAGCCCTCAAATGCTAATGCGACTTCTTTGCACATGGAAAAGGCCTCTCCACTCTAAGTAAACAGGCACCTACACACTCAGTGGAAGCAGCCTCTCCATTCTGTCTAAGGGAGTTAATCCTGCATTGCCTGAGGGAACTATAATGGCTTCCCTTGAAGCTACTGCTATATAATGTTGATTCTTCTCAGGACCTATCCCTACCAATCCTCTTTGCTTCTACCAATAGCTGGACTAAATTATCCACAAGTCTCTAAAAGTGCAGTACAATGTGTAATTCCTTATGAAGTGTGCTATACTCCAAAAGAATTACTTCAATTTTCCTATTTGTACATAAACTATTAAGGGGAACATATGTGGGAATAGATATTAAGGGTGTGGGATAATGGCAGAAGAACATAAATTTGTATAAGGCTCTATGTGTTGATAGGGGCTCACTAAGCAGAAACTGTTTTAATGTTGTAACTTAAGGAATTAGAAAGTGCTCTAACAGATTGGTTGATTGGCTGAATCAACTATCAACATGTTGGCCCACTATGAACGACTTAAAAATATGGGGACTCTTTTGACTTAATGCAAAGGAAAAGGCTTCGAGAATCTGAAATACTAGCAGGATTTTTTCATTTAGAAATTACCCACCCAAAGAGAGTCCAAAACACACACCTTTCTCCATGACTATGAGACGGAATTTGAGAAGGGAGCCCCAGTATCCTTGAAGAGCTCTGCAGTCGGTCTTCTCTGTAGACCAGACCATCTAGTAGAAATGTCAATCACTCAATTGGGAAACCTAAATGTGATTGGGAGTAATGGTAGAGGCCAAGTGGCAGCACTCAACCACCAGAGGCAAAGTGGGCCTGGTTAGCATAATGGACAGCAGAGTACCAACAGCAATCAGGATAGTCTGACTCATACAAACCTGTGGCATTGGCTAGTTGACCACAATATTTCTAGAAGTGAAATAGGTGGAACATCTAATAAATTCTTACTAGAATAAGCAGAAATGTTCCAGGGTTAGTGAATTAAAGTCTAACTTGAATCATAAAAACAGAGAGTCAAGCAACCTCAAACAATTCCCAGACTTCAGCCAGGTTACAGACCCAAAGTCCTTGAATAAAGGGAAAGCTGGATCTCCTTGATGGAGAATCTTGGTACACTGTCAAACATTTATACTATTAATCTTCCTTCCAGCCTTCCTCAAGGGATCTACAGCCTTACACCAGGGAAACTCAGGGTAACTATGTTTTGAGAAAAAGGAAAGAATCAGAATTTGGGAAAATGCTGGACACTGACTCTGAAATGATACTGATTCCAGGATACCCAAAACATAGGATACTCAAAACAGGATACCCAAAACTGTGGTCCAGTTAGACTAACGACTTATGGAGGTCAGGTAATCAATGGAGTTTTAGCTCAGATCTATCTCACAGTGGGTCCAGTGGGTCCTCAAACTTATCCTGTGGCTCTTCCTCCAGTTCTGAAATGCATAATTGGAATAAAAATACTCAGGAGCTGGTAGAATTCACATATTAAATCCCCAATGTGTGGAGTGAAGGTTTCTTTGCTGGGAAAGGCCAAGCATAAGTCACTATGACTGCCTGTACCCAGGAACATAGTAAACCAAAAGAAATACTGCTATCTTTTTAGGATTGTGCCACAATCAAGGATTAGTTTGAAAGATGAAGGGGAGATGACTACACTACATCTCCTTTCAGCTTCCCTATTTGGCCTGGGCAGATGACAGACAGATCGTGGAAAATGACAGTGATTTATCGTAGACTTAACCAGGTGGTGACTCCAGTTGTAGCTGCTGTGCCAGATGTGGTTCTATTGCTTGAGAAAATTACCACATCTACTAGTACCTGGTGCAGCTGTCGATCTGGTAAATACACTTTCTCCATCCTTATCAAGGAAGACCAAAAGAAGCAATTTACATTCAGCCATCAAGGCCAGCAATACAACTTTACTGTCCCACCTCAGGGGTACATCAACTCTCCAGTCATAATTCATTTTGCAAAGTTCTTGATCATCTTTCCTCTCCACAAGTTGTCACACTAGTTCATGACACTGATGACATTATCATGATTGGACCTAGTGAGTGAGAAATAGCAACTACTCTAGACTTATTCACAATATATTTGTATGTAACACGGTGAGAAATAAATGTGACTAAAATCTGGAGGCCTTCCACCTTATTGAAGTCTCTATCGTTAGACTGGTATAGGGCATGTCAAGATATTCCACCTACGGTGAAGTATAAGTTGTAGCATCTGGCTCCTCACATAATCAGAAAAGAAGCTCAATGCCTTATAGGCCTCATTTGATTTTAGAGGCAACATATTTCTCTTTTGGGTGTGACACTCTGGCTCATTTACTAAGTGACCTGAAAGGCAGCTAGTTTTGACTGGGGCCCAGAAAGATAGATATCTAAAACAGGCTGCCATGCAAGCTGCTCTACTACTTGGGCCATATGATACAGCAGATCCAATGATGTTTAAAGTGTCGGTGGCAGATAAGGATGCTCTTTGTAGCCTTTGACAGGCCCCTATATGTGAACAGCAGCTCAGTATTTTAGGATTTTGGAAAAAAGCCCTGTAATCCTCTGCACACAACTATTCTTTTTTTAAGAGAAAGAACTCGGCCTGCTACTAGGCCTTAGTAGAGACTAATGCTTATCCATGTCAACAAGTTACCATGCAATGTGAACTGTCCATCATGAACTGGGTGTTATCTGACCCACTAAGTCATTAAGTTGGGCATGCACAGAAGCACTCCAACATCAAATGAAAATGGTACATATGTGATAGAGACCAGGAAGGCTCTAAAAGCACAAGTATGTTACGTGAAGGAGTGGTTTAAATGCCCAAGGTCCCCACTCCTCCTGCTACACTACATTTCCTCTCCCAGCCTGCACCTGTGGTCTCATGGAGAGTCCCTTATGATCAGCTGACAGAAGAAGAGAAGACTTGGGCCTGTTTTACAGGTATCTCTGCAGGATATTTAGATACTATCCTAACATGTACAACTAATTAATTGCAGTTCTTTTTTGGGACGTCCCTGAAGAACAGTGGTAAAGGGAAATTCTCCTACTGGAAAAAACTTCAGGAAGAGCACATAGCTCCTTACTTTGCTTAGAAAAAGAAATGACCAGATGTGCCATTATATACCAAAATTTATAGGCTGTGGCCAATGGCTTGGCTGGATGGTCAGTAACTTAGAAGGAATATAGTTGGAAAATTGGTCAAAAATTTGAGGAAGAGATAGGTGAATAGAACTTTCTGAGTAGACAAAACTGTTATTGTGTCCATCTGAATGCTCATTAAAAAGTGATTTCAGCAAAGGAGGATTTTAATAAGGAAGTGAACAAGTTCATTTCTTCTGCAAATAACAGTCATCTTCTTTTCTTAGATACTCCTGCCACTGACAAAAGGTGTTATGAACAATGGCCATGGTGGCAAAGATTAGCATGGGCTCAATGACATATCCTTTGACTTGTCAAGGCTGAGCTGGCAGCAAAGTCCAACATAAAATTCATGATATGGCACCATTTTGAGGGGCTGATCAGTCAGCTACCTGGTGGCAGTTTGATTACATTGACTGCTTCCTTCACAGAAAGGTAGCATTATGTTCTATCTAAAATAGACACTCAAGATACAGATTTTCTGCACACCATTTTTCTTTTTTTCCTGAGACAGAGTTTTGCTCTTGTTGCCCAGGCTGGAGTGCAGTGTCACCATTTCGGCTCACTGCAACCTCCTGGGTTCAACCAATCCTCCTGTCTCAGTCTTCCAAGTAGCTGGGATTACAGGCACCAGTCACCATGCCCAGCTAATTTTTGTATTTTTAGTAGAGACGGGTTTCACCATGCTTATCAGGCTGGTCTCGAATTCCTGACCTCAGGTTATCCGCCTGCCTTGGCCTCCCAAAGTCCTAGAATTACGGGCGTGAGCCACAGTGCCCAGGCTTTTTTTTTTCTTTGACGGAGCCTCCCTCTGTCACCAGGCTGGATAATGGCGCTATCTGGGCTCACTGCAACCTCCGCCTCCTGGATTCCAAGTAGCTGGGATTACAGGTATGCACCACCATCCCCAGCTAATTGTTTTGTATTTTTTAGTAGAGATGGGGTTTCACCACGTTGGCCAGGCTGGTCTCGAACTTCTGACCTCAGGTGATCCACCTGTCTTGCTCTCCCAAAGTGCTGGGATTATAGGTGTGAGCCACTGCACCTGGCCCCTGCACACCATTCTTCTGCCAAAACCACCATCCATGAGCTTATAGAATACCTTTTTACTCTCATGGTATAATGCACAGCACTGATTTTGATCAAGGAACTAACTTTTATGTATAATCCATACACTATCAGCAACAAAATCCCTTTCATCTTAGTAGCTTTCATTACATAACAACCTACATTCTATAATAATCAGTTGTAATAATTAAAGTGACTCATTGCACGAACTCACACGTATTCAATCACTTCATATGATTTTGGAGGGAGCGATAAATGTCCTGGAGGGGTGGAGTGTGTATATTCATATTAATTGTGTATCTGTCATCATTATGATAAATTATAGGTGGTTATTTTTTTTGAAACTTGTTGTTAATTCATGGATGTAAATAACTCAAAAAGATATGCATTTAAATAACAGACTGCGTAAAAAGTAAGAACCATTCTATGCTGTATTGAAGATACCAAGTTTTAATATAAAATATGTATGTTAGTGGTAGGAGATTAGAAAAAGATTTAGTATGCACACACTAATTTAAAAAAAGGAATATTATACGGTAAGCAGCCTTTGAGGTGTCCCACAAATGTTTCCCAACTTGTATTTATGTTCTTGTTTCATACCCCCCATTTGGGATTGACTTATTGACTCTTTTCTAATACAAGCAATATAGCAGAAGTAATCAGATGCCACTTCTTAGATTAGGTTATAAAACAAGTGTGGTTTCCATTTCGAGTGTTTGCTCTTTCTTGCTGTCTCAAGGTATTCAGGTGCCATGTTGTGCTCTTTCCTCTGGAGTGTCCCAAATGGTAAGAAACTGAAGGAAAACCTAGCCAACAGCTAGTGAGAAACTGCATACGTCAGTCTATCAACATACAAAAAACTGAATCATTCCTCAAATCACAGGAGTTAGTTTGCATGTAGATCCCTGACAAGCTGAGCATTTAGATGAGACCAGAGCCCTGGCCAACAGGTTGATTACATTCTTATGAGATATCTTGAAATGGAGTGATGTGGTTTGGATCTGTGTCCCCACTCAAATATCATCTCAAATTGCAATCCCCACGTGTTGAGGGAGGGACCTGGTGGGAGGTGATTGGATCCTGGGGATGGTTTCTCCTGCTGTTCTCATGACAGTGAATTCTCACGAGATCTGATGGTTTTAAAAGTGGCAGTGTCCCCTGCACTCTTTCTCCTCCCACCATGTAAGACATGCTTCGCTTTTCTTTCACTTTGCACCATGATTCTAAGTTTCCTGAGGCCTCCTCAGCCATGTGGAACTGTGGGTCAATTAAATCTCTTTTGTTTATAAATTATCCAGTCCCAGGTAGTATCTTTAGCAGTGTGAGATCAGACTAATACACAGCGGCATCGACGAAGCTGTACTTAGTCATCTTCTTTTAGAAAACTGTAAAAACATCAAATATGTTTTCAACCCTTCTAAAATTTTGGGTAGTTTGTTATGCAGCAATAGATAACTAATGTACCAGCAAAACACAAACATACAAATAAGAATCTAAGAAATATCACATGATGATAAAAGGGTAAATTCTCTAAAATTATAATAGATATTAATCCTAAGTATATATGCATCTAAAATATAAGCTATAAATTTATATATTCATAAAATAGAATAGTATTCAGTAATAAAAATATGTTATTATGGATGAATCTCAAAAGCATCATGGCAAGTAAAAGAAGCCAGACTCAAAAAGATACATACTATATGCTTCCTTTCATAAAATAGTCTGGAAGGGGCAAAACTAAAGGGATAGAGAACAGGTTAATGCTTTCCCAGCACTGGGGGAGGGGGGAATTGGAGCTCAGGAGATTAATTATGAAAGGGCAAGAGAGAATATTTCAAGATAATAGAAATATTCTTTAACTTGAAAATAATAATGGCTATATGAATGCATAAATATATCAAAACTCTTAAAAGTTTATATTCAAAATTGTGAAATCTCCTTTATGAAAATTGTAGCTTAATAAACTTGACTAAAACCAAAGCAAATATAAAACAATAAGTAGATGATGCCAGCATTGTGTGAACGGTAGATAGTATAAAATATTCATTGTTATTACCAAGGGTACTGCATATTCAATGTGTAATTTCCACTATGTTCAGGCTGTAGCCAATAAAAATGAGAAAAGAGTCAAGAGGACACACAAACAAACTTGGGGCTAATGTTATTAATTTCAATGGAGATAAATAGTCACATAGCCATATATAACTGCAAGAAAAACTTGAAAGAAAATGAAGTCTAGCCATGTTATCTAGAAGTGAGAGAGAGGATGTGTTGATGGATAGCAGATAATCTCAGCCACAGACAACTATTTGTACTGACAAGGAAAATATTTAGTTAGATAGTCATTAATTTAATTTTCATTCCTGAAATCATTTATTTAATTATATAATCTTACATGATTTTCCACTATGTTCCAGGTACCTCAAAAACTTTATTAGTAGAATAAATATTTGAAGGCTTTTTCCAAGTCTCTTTTTAAAAGGAACTGAAATTTCAAATAACTATATTCTCTCCCTTTCCCACACCGATCTCTAACATATATATATATATTTTGTTGTATATATATATAAATATATATATGTATATATACTCAACTGTTTTTCTATCATCTAAAGATAAAAAAGCAAAATGTCAAAATATTATCTGGCTAAAATGATATGGGCAATAGTATTTAAAGTATGCCAGTTAACCTCCGTTGTCATAATGAAATATCCATAGTAAAATTTAGCATATAATGAAAATCATCTCATAGCAACCCAATTTTAAACTACTTTGCATTAAACTAAAAATAAATGTGCAAGATATTTATAGGAAAGCTAATAAAATTTTCTGTAGAACATAAATGAGAATATGTGAAGAAACAAAAATTATCTGAATAAGACAATATAATTTTAATTATGTTTATTCTCATGAATAAATTTAATGCAAGTCCAGTCATTATTAATTTTTAAAAACCCACATATTATGTGGTCCAGCAATTACATTTCCAGGAACCTAGATTACAGAAACTCTTATGCAAAAACGTGTGTGTGTGTGTGTGTGTGTGTGTGTGTGTGTGTGTGTGTACTTCAGCAGTTTATTCATTTGTCACAGTGGCTTATTAGAGATATGGTGAAACACATTATGCTACTTCCATTGCATTGAATAACTTACAGCCATTTAAATCATCAAATAACAATAGAAAAGGCTACAATATTGCATATACATATATAAATATAAAGAAGGATGCATAGTAAAAATCATTAATTTATTGTACCAACCAAACTAGTAGGTTTTAGGGGAAGTGAAATTGCACATTATGACTGAGTGAGAAGAAATTTAACTTTTTAACTTACACAGCTAAAATCTGTTAAATGAATCTGTATTGCCCTTAAAGTTAAAAATACAATATTTGGAAGAAGACACAATGTCTGTATTAGTCGGTTATTGTGTTGCTATAAAGATGTTGCTATAAAGAAATACCTGAGACCGGGCAATTTAGAAAGCAAAGGAGTTTAATCTACTCACCGTTATGCAAGCTATACAAACATACCATTGGCATCTGCTCGGCTTCTGGAGAGGCCTCAGGGAGCTTTTACTAATGGTGGAAGGCAAATCTGGAGTAGGCATTTCCCATGGCAAATGCAGAAGCAAGAGAATAGGTGAGGAAGAGCCACATACTTTTAAATGACCAGATATTGTGAGACGTAATTCACTATATCTAGCAAAGCACAAAGACATAAGAGTTCCGCCTCCATGACTCAAACAGCTCCTGCCAGGCCCCATCTCCAACACCGGGGATCTAATTCAACATGAGATTTGATGGGACACATATTTAAACTGTATCATTCTGCTCCTGGCCCCCTAAATTTCATGTCCTTCTCACATTGCAAAATACAATTATGCCTTCACAACTGTCCCCTAAAGACTTAATTCATTCCAACATCCACTCAATCAAAAGTCAGAAGTCCAAAGTCTCATCTGAGAAAAGACAAGTCCTTTCCACCTATGAACTTGTAAAATGAAACAAATTATTTACTCCCAAAATACAATGTAGGCATAGGCATTAGGTAAACATTCCCATTCCAAAGCAGAGAAATCAGCCAATAGAAAGGTGAAACAGGCCCCATCCAAGTTTGAAATGCAGCAGAGCTGTCATTAATCCTCAAAGTTCCAAAATAATCTCTTTGATATCATGTTCCACATCAAAAGCACACTGGTGCAAGAAGTGAGCTTCCAAGATTTTGGGAAGCTGCACCTCTGTGGTTTTGCAGGGTTAAGACTGCATGGCTACTCTAATAGACTGGAAGTGAGTGGGTGCAGGTTTTCCATGCTGCAATATAAGTTGCCAATGGATCTATCATAATGGGATCTGGAGGACAGCGACCCCTTCCCATATCTCATTAGGCAGTGCCCCAGTGTGGGGCCTCCAAGCCCACATTTCCCCTCCAAACTGCCCTAGTAGACATTCTCTGTGAAGGCTCTGCCCTTGGAGTAGGCTTCTTCCTAGATATCCAGGCTTTTTTATACATCCTCTGAAATCTCAGTGGAAGCTTCCAAGCCTCAACTCTTGCACTCTGTGCACCTACAGGCTTAACACCATGAGGAAGCTGCTAATGCTTACCGTTTGCATCCTCTAAAGTGGTAGCCTGACCTATACCTGGGCCTTTCTGAGCCAAGGCTGGAGCTGGAAACTCCAGGATGTGGAGAGTGGTGTCCCATGCCTGCACAAGACAGTGGAGCCCTGGGCCTGGCACACAAAACCATTCAATACTCTTAGGCTTCAGGGTTTGTGATGGAAGGGGCAGCTGTGAACATCTCTGAAATGCCTCCAAGGGCCTTTTTTTTTTTCTCATTATCTTGATTATTAGCTCTTGGGTCCCTTTGACTTAGGAACATTTATCTAGCAAGCACTTTCTCTGCAGCCTGCTTAAATTTCTCTCCCAAAAAGCTTTTTCATTCTCTGTCACATGGCCAGACTGCAGATTTTACAGCATGAAGTCATTTCTTTGTCACTGCATCTGAGTATAGGCTGTTAGAAGCAGCCAGATTACTTCTTGAATGCTTTGCTGCTTAAAAATTTATTCTGCCAGATAGCCTAAATCATCCCTCTTAGGTTCAAACTTCCACAGATCCCTAGGGCATGGCATGAACACAATGCAGCCAAGGTCTTTGCTAAGGGATAGTAACTGTTGACCCCTGCTTCAGTTCCCAATAATTTCCTCATTTTTATCTGAAACCTCCTCGTCCTGGACTCCACTGTCCATATTACTATCAGCATTTTGTTCACAACCATTTCACCAGATTCTAATAAGTTCCAAACTTTCTCTCATCTTTCCATCTTCTGCTCAGCCCTGCAAGCTCTTCCAACCTCTACCTGTTACCCAGTTCCAATGTTGCCTCCACATTTTCAGGTATCTTTATAGCAATGCCCCAT